>NC_000009.12:34403939-34555454 GCF_000001405.40 Homo sapiens
TCCAGCAGGTGGCAGCTGCCATTACCACTCCAGGCCTCTAGGGGGTGCAATTTGCCTTAAAGTTCCTGGTGGTACTAGGTGCAACTGGGACAATGCTGTGAATTTTCATGAGGAGCTTTGATGGTAATGTAATGGGGAGAAAAAAAGATGTTATTTTAAAAGCATGCTGAAATTGTTTGAAATAGTGGGAAAAAAGCAAACAATAAACTGGCAAAACCAAACTAAAGACTACTATACAACCATTTAAAAGAATGAAGTCACAATATGATGACATTGGAAGGAGCTCCAAGATTTAGGTGGTGGAAGAGGGAAGGCCAAGTTTCAGAAAATGTGCACAATATGATACCACTTATGTTAAAATACAAAGTAAAACTACAAAAACTGAAAAGGCTTGGAATGGTTACCTCTTAGGAGGAGAATGTGATGGGGGAGAGTAAAGAAGTTATGCTTGTTAAAATATTTGTATTGTGATATTAAACAATAATAGGCTGGGTATGGTGGCTCATGCCTGTAATCCCAGCACTCTGGGAGGCCGAGGTGGGCGGATCACTTGAGACCAGGAGTTCCAGACCAGCCTGGCCAACATGGCGAAAGCCTATCTTTACTAAAAATACAAAAATTAGCTGGGCGTGGTGATGCGCGCCTATAATCCCAGCTACTTGAGAGGCTGAGGCAGGAGAATCGCTTGAACCAGGGAAGCGGAGGTTGCAGTGAGCCAAGATCATGCCACTGCACTCCAGCCTGGACAACAGAGAGAGACTCTGTCTCAAAACAACAACAACAACAACAACAACAACAACCAACACCCCTGATAAATAAAATTGGCTGCAGTTTTAATCTGATGTCCTAGGAATAGAAACAAATTCCAAGGAGAGGACTATTCTTGTTTAGAAAAACAGCTCGAGGGGCTCCCTGGATGTGGTCTGGAAGGACAGAAGCAAGCAAGGTAAGAAAAAAAAATAGTAGTTGAATAATAAAATACAGGCCTCTGTGGAAAGGAAGGAGAAAGTTGTAGGCAAAGGGCCCTTAGGACTGAGGAGGCATCAGTAATTGTTGGGCAGCTGGAGCCTGAGGAGGAGGATGGACAGGAGGGTGGCCTTGATGGCAGAGGAACTTGGAAGGATAGTAATGACCTATATTTAATTGTAAATTCTTTCCTGTATGTCCTGTTTTGTAATTTCTCTTCAAGAAACCAAAGTTTTCATAAAAGTGTGTTATATACAGCAGCCATGAGACAGTGAAACTTTGGTCCCTGAAGGGAGAGGGACAGCCCATGAGGTGAAGGGAGGGCAATAGTGGTAGGAGCTGTGGACAGTGGCCAGAAGCGAGGGGACTTCACAGGATCAGGCTGCACAGTAAACTGACTTTGGAATGGACATGAGACAAAGCCACAAGGGAAATGTGACCCAGAAAGGAAGGGAGATATTTGGGTTTTCTAAGAAACGAAGGGAAAACTCCCCCAGATAGGTGCCAACTGGGCCCAGAGATCTCTAGATGGGCTGAGATTGTAATCGGGAGAGGGGCTCGGCTTCTAGGGTTGGAACTCTCTTTCCTTTCTATCCCTTAGACATAACAAGTAACATCCCACTTCTAAGGCAGCTTCCTCTCAGCCTGATCCAGTGTTTGATGGGACTTCCAAGTCCTCTCTCTGGGGTTCCATGCTTTTCCCCCTGCAGCTATGCCCCAGAATACCTGGAACGTTCTTGGCTTCAGAGATGCCTCTTAGAGTTTCAGGCTCCTGCAGAGAACTGTAACTGCCCTCTTTGCCTGCAGGAGACAAGGTGCCTCGCAGTGCCAATGACTTGAAGGCTTGAGTCTTGGAATCATCTAGGCTGAGCTGGTTTATTTGTGGCACCTCATTGTAGACCCAGCCCAGAGTATCTTGCCTACTCCCCACATCTCCCTCACCCCCCAGACACACTCACCCAGCTTCACTTGGAGCGGGGATGGTTTGTAATTCATGGCTACTGACTCACCCTCCCGGGCGTCACAGTCTCCGTCAGAGATGGAGGCGGCGGCTGGGTCCTGTGGGGAGAAAGCAGTAAGACAGAGAGTTGTTAGGGAGTGAAGACAGGGGGCTGCTCTCAGTCCTGAAGCTAGCCTTCCCACCTGCCCTCTGGGCTTCTGTGAGCATTCACCCCTCAGAGCAGGCAGGGCATTCAGGGAGAGAGGGGCAGACCCATCTACCGTGGGACAAAAACACTGGGCTAGGTAGAAGAACCAAGGATCTGGGTTCCATGTACACCCAACTTGGTGTCTGTCCTCAAAGTCCTGTGTGGTCCAGCCTCCTCCAGAAAGCCCATCATGATTTCTTTAAACTCACAGGACTTCCTTCTCCTAACTCCCATACTAGTAGCCCTTCCCCTCAGGCCCTTCCTGTGTACTTGCTTGGCAAGGTCTTCCTAGGTTCCTGTGAGTTTAAGTCTGGGTTAAGGGGAGAGCAGGTGCTGTCTGAGATGGGTCTTCTCCCTCTGTTTCCCTGTGCTGGACAGGTCCCTTCACAGGATCCAGAGAACTGACTGACCAAGCCACACCAGCCTTCAAGGCTACAGCCACTGGACAAAAAAATAGTTCTAATGAGGACTTCTCCAGTTCACAAATGACACCTAAAGAGTGTCTCCGGGGAGAACCTGAAAAGTTGGCTAGGTACAGTAGGTGAGAAGACAAATAATGACAAACCAGCAGGTGGCCAGTTAGTCTTTTGCTGCCCAGAGTGCAAAATACTTGATTCTACAGATGGTCAGGAAGATAGGAAAGCACACATTCTGTGTATTGTCCTGAGTCTGGAACTTTTGACATCCTCCTCACTGCCCTCTTCACTTCACTAATCTCTAATTGGGCTGGGAACTATGTTGTCCAGAGTCTTTTTTTTTTTTTTTTTGAGACGGAGTCTTGCTTTGTTGCCCAGGCTGGAGTGCAGTGGTGCAATCTTGGCTTACTGCAACCTCCGCCTCCCGGTTTCAAGCAATTCTCCTGCCTCAGCCTCTTGAGCAGCTGGGACTACAGGTACACGCCACCAGGCCCAGCTAATTTTTGTATTTTTAGTAGAGACGGGGTTTCACCATATTGGCCAGGCTGGTCTCGAACTCCTGACCTCATGATCCGCCTGCCTCAGCCTCCCAAAGTGCTAGGATTACAGGCATGAGCCACCATACCTTGCTAAGAGTCCTTATCTAGCCTTGCCATCCCCTCCCAAACACCCTCCTCTGCTGCAAGATCCAGGGCCGTGCAAGTGGCTGAAGTCATCCACATTCTCCCTGAGACTCTGAGGACCAAATATTGACAGGGGTGCTGCCATCCTAGCTATAGGATGGGGGTCTGGCTTCCCTTTAATAAGAGTAGATTCACCTTTATTTCATTTATATATCAGCCTGTTGCAACATTTTGGTTGGAGAAAAGGTTCTATTTTTTAAAAAAGGTTAAAATCTTTTGATTTTAAATGTTTAAAAATGTTTTATTATGGAAATTATAACAAGTAGAGAAAACAGTATAGTGAGATCATAGGTACCTATCAACAGCTTCAACAAATATCAACTTATCACCCATTCTTTTTAAAAATGAGGAAACCTGGGCCGAGAGGGGAAGTGTCTTACGCAAAGTCAGTGATGGAGTCAATAACCTTTCAAAGCATGCAGGGAGGGACATAGGGAAGAGAACATGATTTGGGCTTGGAGTTAAAGACAGGCCCTCTGGGAGGCTGCTCCATTCTTGCAGGCCCAAGCATCAGTCTGCATATTAACCTCTTCCCTTGTCTTTGCATTTTAACCAGGGCCTGTAGATTGCTAAGCCTAAGGTGCGAGGAGTGCAGAGGGGATCCAAGGCTGCTGCCTGTTCTGCCTTTGCGGATGCAGGGAGTAGACAGATGGGCATGTAGAATGCTGCCACAGTGTCAGGCCCAGGGATCTGAGTGGTTGCTGGTGACCTGGCAAGGGAAGGATATATAACCATTATGGTGGCTTCTGTTCCCTTTAAAATGAGGCAGTGGGCATGAAAACATGCTTGTCACTAACGGGAAAGGGAAAAGTCTAGCAGGTTTGAGAGGGAAATCCTGGCCTTGTCTGTGTTCCTTCAGGCCATCCAGAGCACAAGGCTCTGGGTGGGTTGTGTTGCCACAGTGGTTTGCAAGTTCCTGAGGGCAAAACCTGTGCCTCCCTCTCCTGCTTTGATCCCTAGCCCTTAGCCTTGACTGAGTAGAAGAAGGGCAGGAGGCTTTGCTCAGAGAGGCTGGGTGCCGCAGTGCCTGCATCTTGGGCAACTTCCCATGCTTCAAGTCCTTCATCCTCCCTGGCTCAGCAACCTCCTTGAGAGACTAATAGACAGCACCTGTCCTGCACAGCCTTGGAAAAGCAAACCTCTAGTGGCCCTGACATGCCTCTCTGCAGCCAAAACAGCCTCTCAGCAGCTGCTACCTGCAAGGGAGGTGGAGATGGGACAGCTGGGCTCTGGATTTCCTGTGAGCCCCAGAGACTGCTCACTGCAAAGCAGCCAGAGGGAAGGCTTTTTAAAGGGCAAATCCCATAAACATGCTGATAGGACCCTACCAGGGCAGCACTGGCACATTTCTAAGTCCCAAGTCACATTCCTTCACTTTTTTGGTAGCATTCGTCACATGTCACATATACCACATCCATTTGGAAAAGGCTTCCTCCCTTGGCTCATCTCTTGCCTCTTTGACTATCATTTCTCTGTCCTCCCACAACCCTTTGCCTCCTCTGTAGGGTCCTGCCCTTGGCCCTCCTCTCTCTCCTTGGGGAGCCCTGATGTCTCCTATAGTTCTGATTGGCATTTTTACACTGATGACTTCTAAATCTGTGGCGTTTCAATCCTGCTTCTCCTCCTTAACCTTCTAACCCATCTATCACATGAGAGTGTTAGGCCTCACCATCCTTTCCCTGGGGCTGATTTTTAAAAACACAATCCGTTAGACATTTGGAGCTAACTTTTTACTCCTCAGTGCAGATGAGTTCATCAAAGTTTCTTCTCTCAGTCTGGAGGTACTGGGTATAAATGGTAACATGGGAGGTAGATTTCACAGGAAGGACAGGGCTAGAAAGCTGTTGAGCAACTCTGGTCACAGGGACTCACATGTGGTCCTTGAGGCCTACTGGGCAGTTCCTGATGGTATTTGATCCTGGATGAAACTGCCAGCTCCTTTGGACCACAATTCAGGAGGGCCTGACCAGGGGGCAGAGCCCTAGGCTGAGGGGTCCCATGCAAAGCCCACCATTCAGCATCTCCTCCATCACTATCCATGACAGAAGGCCACCTTAGTGGCAAGCACAAAGATCTCTGGCACTGTGCCTGCAAACATAAGCCTTTACTATGAGCTTCCTCTATGTCTTCCCTTAGAAATGCAGCCAATGCACCACAACCATTGCATGGCAATGTAATCAGGGAGATTAAATGTAAAATATTCATGAATGTAAGTATCAGAAAAGACTCCAGGCAGAAGGAAGTGCCTGGCTCCAAGAAATCAGGGAGAATTTAAAGTGCCCCCCAAGGACATCTGAAGGCGTTAGCTAGATCCGGGAACTAGAGTGGAGATTAACAAGATTATTAATAAACACTCAGCAGAGACAGACATTGAAATGCATCTCTAACAGCAGCCCATGTTTCTGCAACCCTTCAAATAAATTCTCTGAAGACTACAGAGATGATTAATAGCCCAGCCTCACTGTTTCTGGGACAGGATATATAGGCTAATGGCTAGTGCAAAGCCAATATAGCTAGAGGAAGGCAAAAGCATCAGAAGAATCCTTAGAATTATAATAGTTTGGTCCACTGATTTTCATTAAACTGTGTTCCCTGAGTGACTGTGAAGGGGAAGCTATAGGATGTGGGTCTGGTTTCCCTTTAATAAGAGTAGATTCACCTTTATTTCATTTATATATCAGCCTGTTGCAACTTTTTGGTTGGAGAAAAGGTTCTATTTTTTAAAAAAGGTTGAAATCTTTTGATTTTAAATGTTTAAAAATGTTTTATTGTGGAAATTATAACAAGTAGAGAAAATAGTATAGTGAGATCATAGGTACCTATCAACAGCTTCAACAAATATCATCACCCATTCTTTTTAAAAATGAGGAAACCTGGGCCGAGAGGGGAAGTGTCTTACCCAAAGTCAGTGATGGAGTCAATAACCTTTCAAAGCATGCAGGGAGGGACATAGGGAAGAGAACATGATTTGGGCTTGGAGCTAAAGACAGGCCCTCTGGGAGGCTGCTCCATTCCTGCAGGCCCAAGCATCAGTCTGCATATTAACCTCTTCCCTTGTCCCCCTGCCCCAGGGCTGTACCAACTCATGAACTGTCTTTAGCTGGCTGGCCTCACTTGTTGGAGCTGTGGGTAGTGCAGTCAATACAATGGTAGGCTGGGACCCAAGAGATCCCAAATAAGCAGGATAAAATTGGGTGGTAAAAAAGGGAAACAAATGAAAAAAACCAAAGTGTGGAACCTTCAAGGCTCATGCCTGGAGTCTTAAGAAGGAGGATCTGGATAAGTAGATGGAAGAGTCTGCTTTCCTGAATGACCCGCAGACTTTTATGGGCTACTCTGGTAGGACTCTAGGTGGCAAAAAATAAAACTTGTAGAGGGTCTTGTAGTTCCTAATGTATGTCTTCAGATCCACGAGCTTATCTGATTCTCATAAGTACCCAGTAGACATGTGATTGCCTCCCCAACATTCAAATTATACTCCTCCTCCACTGGGCAACAGACATATGGCTTGGATGGGCTGACCTCACTCTCAGTGCCAAGGGGATGCTCTGACTAAAGGAAGACAATCTACACAATCCCATCCTCCTTGCCACACAGACTGAAAGAAAGATTGTAATGGTTAAAAGCACAGACTCTGGAGCCAGAGTGCCTAGGTTCAAATTCCAGCTCCTCCAGTTAGTAGCTGTACAATCTGGGTTTCAGCTTCCTCATCTATAAATGGGACTAACACTAATACCTAGTTCAAGGGTTCTTGTGAGGATGAAAGGAGTTAATATGTATTAAAGCAGTTAGAATAGTCCTTAGCATAGTATACCCTTAGCACTATATCCATGTTAACTGTAAAGATATCATTAGTATAGGTTCAGTGAGGCCTATACTATCATGGTCAGTGTGCCCTGGGAGTGGCTGGCCTGTAGCTGTAGCCCTGACACCACATAGGTTGGAGCCTGGCTTATATATGAAGGTATCTGTAGAAAAGGTGTGCCCTCCTTAGGGTGATGAAAGACCTGACCACAGGGCACCCTGTTTCCTCTCTTCCCTCACTCCAGCATGATACAATTCTTTCATTTATTTAATGATGATAGGGCTCACAAATACAAATAGAAAAGAGTCCCAGCTGGGCATGCTGGCATGCACCTGTAGTCCTAGCTACATGAGGCTGAGGCAGGAGGATCACTTAAACTCAGGAGTTCAAGTCCAGTCTGCGCAACATATTGACATATTGAGACCCTGTCTTTAAAAATAAAAAAAAAAGGGCTGGGCACGGTGGCTCACGCCTGTAATCCTAGCACTTTGGGAGGCCAAAGCGGGTGGATCACGAGGTCAGGAGATCGAGACCACAGTGAAACCCCATCTCTACTAAAAATACAAAAACTTAGCCAGGCACGGTGGTGGGCGCCTGTAGTCCTAGCTACTCGGGAGGCTGAGGCAGGAGAATGGCTAGAACCCGGGAGGCGGAGCTTGCAGTGAGCCAAGATTGCACCCCTGCACTCCAGCCTGGGCGACAGAGCGAGACTCCGTCTCAAAAAAAAAAAAAAAAAGAAAGAAAGAAAGAAAAGAAAACAGTCCCATCTTTAAGAAGTTCCCAATAATTATTAATAAAGGTAACCAAGAGCCATATAAAAGTAGAGAGAATGGGACAAAGGGAGGGTGGTCAAAGGAGACACTTGAAAAGATCTTAAAACATTAGGTCACCAATTAGTTTAAGAGTGAGGAGTAAGGACATTCAGGGAACATGTGAAAAGTCTCAGAAGCATAAAACTAGCATAGTACATTCAAGGAATAGTCGGCATTTTGCTATAGTTGAAGCTCAGAAGGTATGGAGAAAAGTTGCAGGAAATCAAGTTTGTGGAGTCAGGAGGGGGCTCAGATCATGCTGGAAGGTGGGCTTTGATTTTTTTCTTTACTCAGAAGATGACGGGGAGCCAATGAAGCCTTAAGCAGGGAGTAACATGGTCAGATTTGAGATGGAAAAGGACCCTCCGATAGCCATGTGCAAGACGCCTGGGAAGGGAGTGAGATTGGAGGTAAGGATAATTAGGAAACTACTGCAACAATGCCAGCAAGAGATAATAGGGGCCTGAACCAAGCAGCAGCAGAAGATAAAAGAACAGAAAGGAAGATGTCAAAAAACAGTAGAATTGGCAGGCTTCTGATATAAAATGTAAAACAAAGGGTCTGGACATTCCTAGTTTACTGTCTGGAGGTAATTGGGAAGAGTACTAATTATTAAGACAAGTTATTAAATGCAGAAGAAGGCACAACTGCATTGCTAAGGAAAAATCAGATGAGTTCATTTGGGAACAGGTTGAATTTTGAGGTGTCTTTTGGACACCCAGATGATACCACTAGTTGGTAGGATTTGAAGTGTGGGAGCTCAGAAAATGGGTGTGGGCTGGTGGTGATGTAAGTCACAGTGAAGAATAAAGTCTCTCAGAATGAGCGGAGTGAAAAAAAAAAAAACCAAGGGTGAAGTTCTGGGAAATATCCAACCTTAGATAATGAATGGAGGAAGGAGACTGGGTAGGAACAGAGAGGAATAAGAGTAGAACTAGGAACCATTCAAGTAGAGTTTCAAGGTGGAAGAAATCAACAGTGTCAAATAAGCAGGTGGGTCCATAAGATAAAGACAAAATTTAGAAATAAGAAAGTCATAGGTAGTCTCAGTGAACACAATTTTAGCTGAAGAGTAGAAACAGAGCCCAGATGACAAGGGATTTAGGAGAGAATAGGAGATGAAGAAGCAGACAGAGTGACCACAGGCCGTTCTTTAAAAGAGCAAGACTGAGAAGGGAAGGAATGAGAATGGGTGGCAGCCAGAGAGAGCTTTAGAGTTCTAGAATTCCTTTAGAGCTAGGGAATACCAGACCTGTCCTAGACTGAGGGGAAGGAAGCTGTGTAGAAAAGGAGATGTTTGAGGGGGCATGGTCTTTGAGGAATCATGAGCAGATGGAGCCAGAACTTTGGACCATGGGAGGGAGTCTCCTTAACAAAACAGAAGGGAGGTAAGGAAGGTGAGGTGAGGAGAGGAAAGGAGGAAGGGAGGTGGGGGAATCAGATAACATGGAGGCAGAAAGGGGGTGGAAAGTTAGGGGAGTTCCTTCCTAAAAAAAACTCATTAGTAAAAGGAAAAAGGTGAACACTAAGGGGTTGGGAAAAAGAGGAATATTTGGTAGTTGGCCAGAGTGGAAGGAGATCAGACTGGCTGGGCTCTCAGCTACAATCCTCATCTGTCACCCAGCCATGATCCAGTCCCGAGGATGAAAGGCGCTCTCCGTGGTGCTGAACAATCTTGCCATTGTCTTGTGGCCTGAACATGATAATCCAGGGCAGAGACATGATTCAATATCAGCCTTCCCAAGAAGAGGTGACCTCTGTTCTCACCTCCAAGTACTAATTCTTAGGAAGATGAAAATGGAAATGGATTTAGAGTGACGTATGAAGAAGCAAAGCGCTCATACCAATACTATCTAACCCTTCTTCACAGAACACAGAAGAATTTTCCTTTAGTTTTAAGGCTAATTGGGGGAGGCAGTTCTGAGTTGGAGAATGCTGGAAGGCTACTTCTGGAATAAAGTCGTGCCTGTACCTGTTTATTTTCCCTGGATAATAGCAGGAGGCAGGATAGACAGAAAAGCAGAAAGCAGAAATCAGGGCCAGGAAGGATAGTGCTGATAAGAAATGGGAAGTCAGGGAAGGTGTGTGGCTCAGGCCACTCTCTGACAAGTGGGCACAGTAAAATAGAGCATCAAAGACCAGCTCTGTTCCTTATCACAAATTTATCCATTGGTCAGCTGAGAAACTTGGGGCTGTGGTCTTCCTGTTCAGGGCTATTCCATTCCAAAACATCTCATGGCAGTGTGTAGAAATAAGCATGTTTAGGTATCAACTTTTAGAGGGAGACCCAGCAAGTATAACTTAACTTCACTAAGTCCTCATGGTTGGGTAGAAATCTTGCCTCTGGTCCAAGAATAGTTAGTAGCAATCTATGCATTAGTTAGATGGCTCTATTTCCCTGCAGAGGGCTGTCCATTCAGCCTAAAGCATTCCCATCTTCTCTGACTCCACACCTCAACATATGAGTTATCTGGCCAATGACAGCTCTTACTCTGCAGTATGACCTGAAGTCACACCTCAACACATTGGCCATTTCTGAATCCCACTGTTGGGTAGCTCCTGTTTTTGTTCCCCATCTCCCTTTCTCCAAGTTTTCTCCAGGCACTGCCTGCAGAGCCAGGCAATTGGCCAGGACTTATGTCCTTTTGGGACATATTAAGATCCTTAGGGGATAGGTGCAGCAAACCACCATGGCACATGTATACCTATGTAACAAACCTGCACGTTCTGCACATGTATCCCAGAACTTAAAATAAAATAAAATAAAATAAAACAAAATAAAAAGGTCCTTAGGGATCCCACTTACAGGGAAAGACAAAGACTTCTTATAGGGATAAGGTCTTTGTGGGAGATCTGGAAGAGAATCAGGGAAACATAACGGAGAGGATCTCTCCAAGTGTTATTGGGTCTTACAAATGGGGGAGAACAGAAAGTCTGAAGAGAAAGTTTGTGAAGCCTACATTTAGGAGAGAAGGCAGAGAATCCTGGCTGGCCCAGGGAGTCTTCTCTTATCAGTCTAAATCTCCCAAATCTTCTAAGTTTTTCTCTAAAAGAAGACCCATTTCAAATAAAGTCAACACACTGAGTGTCCACTCTCCAGCTCTGGACTATGAGCTGGCAGTAGAATGCAGAAGAGGAAAGCATCTTTTCTCTTTCTTTTCTTTGTTTCCTTCTTTGTCATTTTTTCTTTTAGTTTTTTAGAGACAGGGTCTCACTCTGTCATCCAAGCTGGAGTGCAGTGGTGCTGTCACAGCTCACTGTAACCTTGACCTCCTGGGCTCAAGTGACCTCCTGCCTTAGCCCCCTGAGTAACTAGGTCTATAAGCACACATAGCCACTATGCCTGGCTAAATTTTTTTTTTTTTTTAGAGAGGGGGTCTCACTATGATGCCCCAGTTGGGAAAACACTCTTTCTTTCCACACACCACACTTCTGCAGAGCATTTGCATTTTGGGGTATGGTCAAGTTCACCAAAAAGAAATGGGAAGGATTATCACACTCGGGCTAGAGTTTGGGAGCTCCAACTGGTCTTGGGAGTAGCTGAGGATTTTCTGACTGCTTAAACAGCTGCTAGTATAGAATTCATTACTAAAAGTAAGCACCGCCAAGCCTTAGTATCTTTAATGGTATCTGTCACTGGGACAACCAAAATGGTGGAGGGTGCTACTGCCCCCAGGCCTAGTAACAACTGTAGCTATGAAAAGTTTTATAGATTTTTCTACTATAAAGTAATACATGCTAAAATTTTAACAAATCACCTTTAGTTTCACCACCTTGAGAAAAACACTTGATAATGTTCTACGGTATGTGAGTCTTTTGCGTATACTACAGCAGCAAAACTCTGGGGCTTCCCTTCCTTCTTTGGGAGTTGGTGCTGTTCCCATCTTCATGGTCATAGGAGTGAGCCTCTAGGAACTATGCTGGTTCTATGTGATTCCACCCAATTGGATAAATGCCTGGATGAGGCAGAGCAAATTAGTCTCCCCCAGAATCGGGAAGTGGGACTTAAATGGAGATGTAAAGTTCAAGACTGTGGATTAGGTAACAGAGAGAGCCATTGGGGAGGGAAACAAGAATACAGCTGATGTTCAGAAAGAAGTAAACACAAGAGATGGTGAGAGTGCTCCCTAGGTTTCAGTCTCTGGTTCTAGAGCCTGCCTTACCCATCCAAAGCTTGACTTCATGCTGTGCTTAGGCATTATAAGAAACCCAGCCTAGGCAAGATAGCAAGAAGGTGACTCTCCAAAAAGACAAAAAATTAGCCAGGTGTGGTGGCACACACCTGTAGCCCCAGCTACTCGGAAGGCTGAGTGGGAGGATTGCCTGAGCCCAGGAGGTTGAGGCTGGAGTGAGCTATGATTGTGCCACTGCATTCTAGCCTGAGTGACAGAGTGAGATCCTGAGAAGAAAGAGAAAAGAAAGAAAGAAAGAAAGAAAGAAAGAAAGAAAGAAAGAAAGAAAGAAAGAAAGAAAGAAAGAAAGAAAGAAAGGGGGAGGGAGGGAGGGAAGGAAGGAAGGAAGGAAGGAAGGAAGGAAGGAACGAAGGAAGGAAGGAAGGAAGGAAGCGGAGAGAAAAGAAAGAAACCCTAGTGTCTTCATAGTCTGTTCTCTTTCTTAGCTTCAGTTGGGTTTTTTATTTTGTTACTGTAATCAGAGAGTAGCAACTAATACATGTGCATAGAACAACATTTAAAGAACATAGTATATTTTGTGGCTGGGCCCTGTGGTTCACGCCTGTAATCCCAGCACTTTGGGAGGCCGAAGCAGGAGGATCACTTGAGGCCAGGAGTTCGAGACCAGCCTGGCCAACATGGCAAAACCCCTTCTCTACTAAAAAATATAAAAATTAGCTGGGTGTGGTGGGGTGCTGAGGCATGAGAATTACTTGAACCTGGGAGGTAGAGGTTGCAGTGAGCCAAGATCATGCCACTGGACTTCAGCCTGGGCAACAAAGTGAGACTCTGTCTCAAAAAAAAAAAAGTATGATTTTTTTATTTCTGTATTTTTAAAATTAGTATCAGAACATAATCAGCTCTCCATTTTTTTTTTTTTTTTTTTTTTAAATAGAGGCAGGGTCTTTCTTGTTGCTCAGGATGGAGTGCAGCGGCTATTCACAGGCACAATCATAGCTTACTACAGCCTTGAACTCCTGGACTCAAGTGATCCTACTACTTCAGCTTCCCGTGTATCTGGGATTACAGGTACATGTCACTGCACCTAGCTTTATCTTCTCCTTCTTCCTTCTTCCTTCTTCCCTCTTCCCTCCTCCTTCTTCCCCTTCCCTTTCCCCTTCCCCTTCTCCTTCTTCTTCTTTTTGGAGTCAGAGTCTCGCTCTGGTGCCCAGGCTGGTTGCCCAGGCTGGAGTGCAGTGGTGTGATCTCGGCTCACTGCCTCAGCCTCCTGAGTACCTGGGATTACAGGCATGCACAACCATATCTGGCTAATTTTTGTATTTTTAGTAGAGACAGGATTTTGCCATGTTGGCCAAGCTGGTCTCGAACTCCTGGCCTCAAGTGATCCTCCTGCCTCGGCCTCCCAAAGTGCTGGGATTACAGGTGTGAGCCACCATTCCCAGCCCCTAGCTTTATATTCTTACATAGTTTTTGTAACTATCAGTTTAATGGCTGCATAATACCTATAGAGAGGATGTAGAGTAACTTTGTAACCATTCATTTATTTTTGACATTCAGGTTGTTTGCAACTTTTCACTATTATAGATAATGCTACACTGAAATCCACATATATTTACATTTAGGATCATTTCCTAAATAAAGTAGATTACTCAGTAAAAAACATGAGTGCTTTTAAGTTTCTTGATAGATATTGCCAAAATGCTTTCCCAAAGGATTGTTCCAATTTACAATGCCTCCTGTCATGACTGAGAGTATAGCTGGTTTTTAATGCTTTATTTTTCACTGTGTGCCAGGGAATTTCAGGTCATCACATTTACCCATTATCTTCCATGAGAGCTCTGTTCCAGTCCTCATTTACCTGGTTCCCTCTGGGAAATCTTCTTTCATAGAACAGAATTTCCTCTGGGCATCACCTGCCAGACAAAATACTCCTGACTTGAGGCCACCAATTAAGAACAAAAGGAGGGAAGACTCTTACACTGAAGACTGGGAAGGGCTTTAAGTGGAGCACTGGCACTGCCTGGCAACTGGGCACTGTGCTTTAGCCAGTCCTCACCTGTGCCAGCATGTCAGCTGTAGGAACCGTGACGGTAATTGCGGAGCCAGAAAGCAAATCTCACAGAGTGTGTCCCTTGCTTTTAGATGTGGGGTGGGAGAATTAACCAAAATGGCTTTGGAGTTACCCCAGCTAGGGCAGCAGCTCCTATTACCCTACCTATTATTTAGTTTTCAGAAATAGCTACTCAGGAACAGGGAGAGAAAAGGATGGTGAAAGTATGAAGCTGGTAGTGAGATGGTAAAAAAAAAAAAAAAGGATTTGTTTTTGAAATGAAGAGACAGGGGGCCAAAGAATGTTTTAAAAGATGATTTAGAATCCTGCTCTGCTTCTTCATGGTTAGGACAAGACTGATGTCTTAGACTGATGTTCTGCTATTCATTCCTATTACCACTCACCAGAAAACCCTGTCATAAAAAATTCTTCATTTGGGAGATAGGATAAATACCTCAACTCAGGGATAATCACTGTAGCTATGGCTTGGGGGAAGCCTGTGCATAAGGGCCTAAGGGCCAAGCCTCATGACCCAGGAGGTAGACACCAGAATCATAAGTGGAGAAGGCTTACTTCCTTCTGGGAGGACTGGCTTGGCCTACTCCTGGCCCTCATCCCCTTAGCCAGATGTTGAGGATGCTCCTGCCTTACATTTGGACCAGTTTAAGACATTGGTCTTGGCCTATGTCAAGTCTTGTGACCTACAAGGTCTTTGAACCCCACATCACCCTCGCCTCCCCCATTTCAATCTCTTTAGGGAAAGATCATCTAATTTAATGGAGAAAGGAGTTAAGGTACAAAGTTCTTTAAAAATAGATCTACAATGGTTAAAATTGGCCAGATGCAGTGGCTCATGCCTGTAATCCCAGCACTTTGGGAGGCCGAGGTGGGTGGATCACTTGAGGCCAGGAGTTTGAGACCAGCCTGGACAACACAGCGAAACCCTGTCTCTACTGAAAACACACACAAAAAATTAGCCAGGTGTAGTGTTGCACACCTGTTACCCCAACTACTCAGGAGGCTGAGGTAGGAGAATCTATTGAACCTGGGAGGCAGAGGTTGCAGTGAGCCAAGATTGCACCACTGCACTCCAACTTGGGTGATAGAGCAAGACTCTGTCTCAAACAAACAAACAAACAAACAAACAAACAAAGCCCCATGATGGTTAAAATGGTAACTTTTATGTTATGCATATTCTAATACAATTTTTTTTTAAAAAAATTGAGAAGCAGGACCTAGGCAGCAAAATAAGAAGGTGTGTGGTGGGCAGTGGGGAGGAGGCAGTCCCTTCCCTTTTCATATTCAGATTCAGACAACACAGACTTTTGGGGATGAGGCCTTTCATAGGAGAGGGAAAATTATTCTAAGACCAGGGGAGTTGGACGGGGCTGGGGATTTGGGGTTGGGTTTCTGGGGGCTTTCTACTTGAGGTGCCCCTTAGACAGGGCCCAGAGGACAGGAAGATGGCAAGGTTGTTCAAGGTTAACAGCGCTTTAGGGAGCACAGTCCAGAGGATCTTTCAGTTTCCTTCTAGAATGTGGATTCCAGTTCTTCAAGATAAGGGAGGAGGCATAGACACTGAGGAGAATACTGCCCAGGAATCAGTACAAGACATGTGGTTGGAGACTCCTTGAGAGCCCCACACCTGGTAGGAAGCAGAAGCAGGAGAAATGCCAGCAGACACTGACATTTGTCTGGGCCAGATTGACGTGTGGATTCTTGTCTGAATCTTGGCCCCAAATCTCACTTAAGGCTTTTTAGTAAGCTTCAATTACTCAAGGAACTGAGCCTGGCCTGCACTGGTTCATAAATCTTTGGGGCTCCTTGATTTGCAGGAAAGCAAAGTAATTGGCAGAGTCTATGGGATTTCTTCCCTCTGGCCTTGGAAGAATAAGGACCAACTTGTCTGCAATGGACAATGGACTTGGAGGGCTAGTATCAAATAGCTTTTCCTCTCTGTGGCATTTCCTGTCGCTGCCCTTCCTCTCCTTTTTAGCTTGTTCTAAGTCTCTAACCCCCATTATGCCTGGCAGGCACTACTCTTTGCCCACAAAGATAATTTGCAGCTCTAAAGCTCAGCTCTCTAGCCAGAGCAGTCTCCTAGTCTTTCCTTTTTGTCATCCCAATAATTAAACATTGGTGAACTTGCCACTTGTTCAGAACTTTGATAATCACTGAACCCCAACAAGGGGGAGGGCACAATGTACACTGGGGAGGGAAAAACACCAAGCCCTGGTTCTTGCCAAGAAGAATTTAAAAGTGCAGAGATGACAGGCACACAGATCAGCCTATTTAAGGAAGAGAGAGGAACAGCAGAGGCAGGAATGCATGGAGGGTGGTAGGAGCACAGAGGAGAGCGATAATGGTAGCGATATTATCTTCTCTGACATACAAGATTGGGCCTGGGCAGGAGCCAGGTTAAAGTGGAGACCTGGCTATTGGTCACTGGGTACTTTGGCAGAGGGTTTAAAGCAACTACTGGTGAAGCTCTGCCCTGGGGGCTAGGACTCTACTTTTCGTTGCTGCTGATGTAGTTCCTACCCTGCCACAGGGCACTCACTTACTCCCCACCTCATTTTGGGGGGTCATTTGCAGCAGGACCTTTTCCTTTACCATTGAGATAAACAGATAACCCAAAGGAAGGGTCAAGAGGCTCTAGGTGGGTGGCTGGAAAGGGTTTTTATTAAGAAGGCAATCAGGGACTGAGAGTCCTGTCCTAAGAGTGCTTAAGAAAGAGAAAGACCAGGCGTGGTGGCTCATGAGCCTGTAATCTCAGCACTTCAGGAGGCTGAGGTGGGAGGATTGCTTGAGCCCAGGAGTTCAAGACGAGTCTGGGCAACAAAGTGAGACCCCATCTCTACAAAAAAGAAAAAAAAACTTAGCCGGGTGTGGTAGCATGTGCTTGTGGACCCAGCTACTTGGGAACCTGAGGCAGGAGGATCACTTGAGCCTGAGAAGTTGAGGCTGCAGTGAGCTGTGATCACACCACTGCACTCCAGCCTGGGTGACAGAGTGAAACTCGTGTGTGTGTGTGTGTGTATGTGTGTGTGTGTGTGTGAGAGAGAGAGAGAGAGAGAGAGAGAGAGAGAGAGAATGGCTCTGCTGAAACAAATTTTGCTGCATCCAGCCAAGCCTAGGGCCTGCAGTCACTCTCACAAGGCCTGTTCCGTGCAGCAGGGAGGTCAGGGCTGAGGGGCCCATAGAGGCCTGGGGGCCAGCCTGGGGTCAAGCAGGTCAGAGAGGGGAAGGGGAGGGTTAACCCTACTTATGAACTCCCATCTGAGTCTCCCAAGAGAAGAAAGTTCATGTGTGTGTGTTATAGGGGTGTGTGTGTGCCAGCTGGGGGTACAGAGGTAAGGAGGGGAGATTGTAGAGTAACACCAACTCAGGGTGTGTTTTTAGGGGTGAGGCTAGCCAGTTGCTGGTTATGCATCTCCATGGAAAACAATACTCAACTGCTAAGCTAGATGGTCCTAGGATACTTGCAGGAACGTCTCTGCAGGCTCAGGGCAGTAGAGAGCCTTTGCCTGCCCACCTGTCACTCCCTGGCTGGTGCAGTGACACTTACCGGCTAACTCATACTCAAGGCATCAATAGGAAGGGGTACCACCTCGTACTCCAGGCATCAATAGGAAAGGCCGCTGAAACAGCAAATGACCAACATTTCCCAAAGAGCCCCCTACAGCTCTACAACCCACATCTCTGAGGACACTTCCTCTTCTCTGAGTACACCCCCCTGCCACAGCCTCCCCCACCCCCATACAACCTCTACCTCTTCTAGACAGCTGACACACCTGCACTGTCTCAACCCTCCACCCCTGCTGAACCCATCTGTGCCCCTAGGACAGTGTTTCTTCATATATTAATGTGCATAGAAATCATCTGGGCATATTATTTAAATGCAGATTCTGATTCAGTAGGTCTGGAACCTGAATTGTCAGCATTTCATATTAGCTCCCAGGTGGTACCAATGCTGTTAATACAGCGACCACACTTGGAATAGTGTGGCTCTAGGCCAGCCTCTCTACGCCCACACCATCCCCAGACAGCCTCTCAAAGAGCCCTCCACCCTGACCTTAACCTGGTTACATTCCTAGTGGCAAGAGGGAACAATAGTCTGGGAAGAGAGGAGAGAAGAGGAGGGACTTCTCAAAGCTCACGTTGGGGAGGCAGCTCTACTAAGAACTCTGGCTGGATCCAGGCAGGGAGTTGTTCGGAACAATTTAGCCCAGGTGTAGTTCTTCCAAAACTCATCCAGTCATTTAGTTAATGTTGCTTAAATACCTGCCAGAGGTACGGCCATGGTGCTAAGTGCTTTATCTATATTATTTCATTGAATCCTCCCCAAAACCAAGTAAGGCAAATATCATTTTCATTTTAAAATTGAAGAACTAGGTTGCATAAAGTAATATGTCCAAAGTCACACCTGGTAGGCAATTTGAATCTAATTTCCTCATCTCTCTTACCCCAGCCCCTTCTCAGAGACTTAGATAAAGTCATGAGATTAACAACGTACCAGAACTTACACCTCTGTGGGACTGTTGTCTTGCAAAGCAGTCACTTGGAAGGCTGGTACCTAGTTCAATCATGTCTCTGGAGCTCAACACAAACTTGTAGCCCCTCTTTAGAAAATAGCATGGATGCTTTCTGATCACAAGCTTCCTGCTCAATTGAGTTCTCCACAGGAAGGAAATATTGGAGCCACTGAAGCAGTCGATAGCTCAAGATGGAGAGAGAGACTGGCAGGAAGCAACAAGAAAGAAAATGCGTTGGAAACTGAGAATGGTGAGCCCAGGAGACAAAAGAAGAGGGCAGTGCAAGAAAAGGAGATGAAAGGGGCCTTAGCCACCAAATTCAGTTCTGGTCCTACATTTTAAGGGCATCTATATTCTAGGCACTGTGCTGGGTTCTGGACATATAAAAATAATATGGGCTGGGCGCGGTGGCTCACACCTGTAATCCCAGCACTTTGGAAGGCCGAAGTGGAAGGATTGCTTGAGCCCAGGAGTTTGAGACCAGCCTGGGCAACATAGTAGGACTCCATTTCTACAGAAAAATTAAAGAAAATTAGCCCGGCATGGTGGCACGTGTCTGTAGTCCTAGCTACTCAGAAGGCTGAGGTGGGAGGATCACTTGAGCCTGGGAGGTTGAGGCTGTAGTGAGCCATGATTGCACAGAGCGACAGAGTGAGACCCCTTCTTCTAAATAATAATAACAATAATAAGGCCCCTGCCCATGAAGAGCTCATAAGCCAGTGAGTGAAGCAAGTGAATAAGCAGATAATTTTAATCATATGCTGAGTGCTATGACAGAGGTTTGTATGTGTACAGGACAGAGGCAACTATCCCACTCTGGGGAATTAGGGAGGACTTCTCCAAAGAAAACTGATGGAGGAAGCAAGAATAGGAAGTATTAGTGAACCAGATGAGGAAAGGAGTGGCAAACAAAAAGAAAAAAGAAGAGAAAGGACTGGTGGGAAAGATGCACATGACTATAGAGCAGGCAAAAAGAACAGGTCAATTTTACTAGAATGTTAATGTTAGGGGACGAAGTGGCAGGTGATGAGTCTAGAATGACAGGAAGACTTAAAATCATGAAGGGCTTTGTAAGATATGTTCAGGGTTTTGGACTTCACCTGGAAATAATGGGGAGCCACTGAAGGATTTTCAGCCCATTGTCAGATTTAGATAGACTGACTGCTCTGGGAGCAGGTCCAAGGAATAGGCAGGAATGATTAAACTGGAGGCAGGGAGGCTAGATAAAGGTCATTGCAGTAGGTGACAAAGCTTGAAAAAGTCAGTGTCAGTGGGGTTGGAAAAAAGGAGGTGGAGAAGAAAAACATGTTGAGGTCAAACCGCTGGGGCACTAAGGCTGACTGGATCTGGGTTTGAGGGAAAAGACTTGAGCTAGGATGACTCCCAGGTTTCCTCCTGACTCAGGTGACTGCGTGAATTGTGATGCCACCAAATAAGATGGAGAAACAGAAATAAGAGTAAGGCTTGTGGTTTTGTTTTGTGTGTAAATATGTGTATGTTTATAAATAAGAAGGGCTTAGAGAAAAAAAATTAAGGAACACCAATATTGAAAAAGTAAGCAGAAGACTGACAGCTACGGTCAGAGGGGTAGGGAACCAAGAAGAGATCAGAGTCATGGATGTCTAGGAAAGGCAGAGTTTTGAGAAGAATAATGTAAGACAGAGGAACCAGAACCGGAGTCCTAGAGGGGCTCTTGTATGACAAGAGAGACTGGAAAATAGTTGAGGCCGGGAGAAAGAACCAGCATAGAATGGCCACTTGTTTGAAGACATGAGGGAGGACTCAAGATGCTGTTCTCAGGCTTGCTGATATTTCAGCAAAAACTTATTTTGTTCTAAGAAATTATGGGTCTGATTCTTGTGAGGCTTGCAAGTCCTCACCGAGAGACATTCTCTAGTAGAAAAGTCCAGTCACGGTCCAGAGATCATGGCACATTTGCTATCTTTTAGGAAGTGTGGGCAAGGGGTGGGCTGAAGGCAAGGGAGGCTGACCAGGGCTTGGCCAAACTAGAGGCAATAGTAAGCAGTTAGGTGGGTAGTCGCCCCAAATTCTGGCTGCACCAGAGTCCCCTGACTTAGTTTTGGCCTATCGTCCCCAGGCTATGGCAAAAAGCAGCAAAGACCCTTGACTTCTAGTCCTTGAGGCAGGGGGCCAAAGCCAACACGGACCTACCAGGAGTGGCCTGAGAATCCAGAACACAGAGAGGAGCAGCCTGCGTTGCGATTTTCCCAGAACCCACAACACTTGTTCCACCAACAGTGAACATCCAGAGGGAGGCTCAACCATGGAACCTATACTCTGTTATGTGGTAATCATGCTTTCTCACCTTTTTGTTTTTTGAAATAGGGTCTCACTCTGTCACTCAGGCTGGAGTGCAATGGCACGACCTCAGGTCACTGCAATCTCCACCTCAGCTCAAGCAACCTGCCACCTTAGCCTCCCGAGGAACTAGGACTACAGGTGTGTACCACCACACCCAGCTAATTTTTTGTAGTTTTGGTAGAGATGGGGTTTTGCCATGTTGCCCAGGCTTGTCTCAGACTCCTGAGCTCAAGCGATCTACCCCCTCGGCCTCCCAAAGTGCTGGAATTACAGGCATGAGCCACCGCGCCCAGCCCTTTCTCACTTTTATTATTATTATTCCTTATGCCTAGTCAAAACTTTCTCACATTTAAACCCTTCAATAATAGTTTTCTGTAAAAATAAACAAATGAGGCCCACAGTGGCTCATACCTGTAATCCAGCACTTTGGGGGGCCAAGGCAGGCAGATCACCTGAGGTCAGGAGTTTGAGACCAGCCTGGCCAACATGGTGCAACCCCGTCTCTACCAAAAATACAAAAATTAGCTGGACATGGTGGTGGGTGCCTGTAATCCCAGCTACTCGGGAGGCTGAGGCAGGAGAATCTCATGAACCTGGGAGGCGGAGGTTGCAGTGAGCCGAGATCGTGCCACTGCACTCCAGCCTGGGCAACAAGAACAAAACTCTGTCTTAAATAAATAAATAAAATAAACAAATGAATAAATAAAAATAATCACTTGACTTAATTATTAGTCTTCAGAGCCAGTAATGTAGTCAGTAACCTGCATGCCTCCACTGTGCTTGGAGAAGTTGAAAAATGTGCAGTTAGTGTTAAGGGGAGATCCTTGTTCTTCTGTCTCCTGCATGCAAACACTGACACCTATGAGTGAGTGGGCAGTGCACTGAGGTGCAGGAAAGCCAGGCTCACACGAGGGCAGAGGACTGGCAGCCTCAATGAGGTTAGACTGACTTTTCCCAAAACTCTGACCTTGCGGACCTACTGCATTATTTAAAAAAAAAATCATATTCTGGGAAAGAACAGCCTGTGCTTGGCTATTTACAAAAGTAGGTCTGTGAATGCTGTTAGAGTTGAATGAATGTTTTATGCTATTTGGTGCATTTTAAGTAACCCAATAGGCTGAAATATTTTTGTTGTGAAGGGAATGCTTGTTCTGTACAATTAAATTTGGTTAGAATTAGAAACTCCAAAATTCCTTTGTTCCTATCAGGGGAGCAATAGTTTGTCTTCACCTACTCTGCAACCTTGTGGCTGTCAGAGGGTTAGTTATAAGGCCTTCACATCTGGGCTTCACAGAAGCACAGAATAGCCATTCAAGGAGTATTTTGGCTTTTATATGGACACCTAATTTCACAGGCAGTAGGATCCTGAATTTTTTATATAATGACTTTCACTCTTTCCACCACTCCCTTCTATTTTACACTCCAATGAAAACATCCCGAATGTTGAAACATCAGTGATTTTGTCCTGTTCCTATGTTTAGGAGAGGAATTTTCAGCTCCTTGTTATGTCCAGGTGGGGCTAAGATGAGTTGTATCTTTATAGATAGGAGAAATGATGGTATATAGAAAGAACCCAAAAATCCCAGATCCTAGTCTATAGTACACCCTGGGCTGTTTTGGATTCTGAGATAATTTTTCATCCTCCCCTTCCCCACCAATAGCCCAGCTCTAGCTAGCTGCAAATTGTCTGGATCGAGCTGCTTTGACATGCTGATGTTATCGGCCTCACAGTGCCTGGAGCATGCAGATAGGAACAGGCAATGGCGCCGTTTCACTGGACGTAGTAATGTAATTTAGTTTCTGAAATCCAAGTATAAAATCTTGAAAGCTGACTTTAAAATCTGCCTCAGGAGGGATGGTGGTGGTGTGGAATTCCCAGCAGAACCATCTAAATAGGGAAATGGCTTCTGTCATGTATTAATAAACAGTTCAGAGCAATGGAAAAATAGAGAGAGGATTGCAGGGAAAGTGAGTGCCTAGTCTTTCTTCCTCCTCCCTCCTCTGAACTGGGCTGCCAGGTGAGGACCATTCCATTTGTGTGATCCCCAGGTTGGGGCTAGAAGCACCTCTCCCTGAGCATTCCTGTGAGGCCCCTGCTGCTAGGAAGATGGAACAGCAGTTTGGGTGGTCTCAACCAGCACTTTTTTTTTTTTTCTCCAGACCAGGCTAAGAATGATGGCAAAGGAGTAGTCACTTGCCTTTACTTCTATCTCCCCAACCTCATCTTGTGCCACTCTTCCCCAGGCTTACTAGTTTGCACACTGGTCTTCTTTACTCCTGATGGGGTATCAATATCCTTTTTAACCTCATGCTCCCCTTCTGGTTAAATTTTACTACATCCTTCAGGCCTCAGCTGACACACATCACCTCTTGTTTTTTTGAGACAGTGCCTTACTCAGTTGCCCAGGCTGGAGTGCAGTGGCGCAATCTCGGCTCACTGCAGCCTCAGCCTCCTGGGCTCAAGTGATCCACCTACCTCAGCCTCCCAAGTAGCTGGGACTACAGGTGCACGCCACCACACCTGGCTAATTTTTGTATACATACATATTTTTGTTGACATGGAGTCTACGTTGCCCAGGCTGGGACACATCACCTCTTAAAAGAAGCTTCCCATAAATGCCAGGCTCAGTTAGATCCTTCTATAATGTAGTCTCACAGCCCCTGCTCCCCCATACATTTCTTTCATGCACTTAGCAAATTTTATTTAAATGACTATTTGTATAATTTGTTTAATAAATGTTCGTGAAGGTAGGGACCATGCCTGCCTCCACTATGTCCTCCCAATGCTTGGCATAGAAAATGAAAGGCCATAATCTGAAAAGACAAACACTGCCTTCTACTTGATTTGAAGGCATAGCAAGGATCTTTCTATAACAGAGAGGTGGCAAACACTCCTGACCTATCAGACCATGCTGGAGTCTTGTCTAATGGTGTCCCACAGACAGATGTTGCATTTTGTGCTCTTTGTAGGACTACTTCTTCACTGTAAGCCTCTGGTCAGGGGCTCAAAGTTATTTTGGAGAACAGCCAAAGTAGGAGTCCCCCAAACCCTCCTTCAACTCACCTGAAGGCTTGGCCTAGTTAAAACTTCACTTAAGGTCCACAGCCAAAGCAGCAACTCAATTTCAGGTCAACTTCTCATGGAGACTAACAACAAACTGAGCAGATAGATGCAGCCTTCTTTGTGACTAAAGGGCTAAGATCAGCCATTAGCTTGCAGATATATACTTCCACAATCAAATGATTAAGGCCCAACTCTTGTTACTGAGTTCGGAAGAATGGGAAACCAGCTTGGAATCCAAACCATCAGAAAACTCTTTGGAGGGAGATAGGAGTGGGGCTGTTCTGATCCTCTGTCTGTTCAAAGTGCTTTCTGACAACCTGGTTCTTGTAACCATGTTCAACAGGCAGTAAACACCCAAGGCAGGGAAACTCTTCAGGATTTAGACATAAGGGCAAACAGATGGTAAAGGAAAATGCAAGAAACCTCCTGGAATAGTAAACACAACCCCTGTCTAGAGAGTAGGGCCTATGAACAGTTTACCTGTGAACTGCACTGACTCTGAGAGTCTAGACAGGTTGTTTCACTTTCTGAGCTTCTAGGTCTGTTTTTATTCAGGCCCTGAGATCCCAGAAAGAGCCTCCAGGGTAGAGAGTAAATGAGTTCTCCCAGGTCAATGCCAGATGGCAGCCCTGGGATTAGAATTCATGGGCCCTTGTTTGCAGCCAGCTGTGCCCTCCCCTGAGTCCTGCACTGTTTCTTCTTCTGAATGCTCAGGATTGTATTCAATTTAGTAAGGTTTGTGGACACATAATCACAGCTCCTAAATAAAACAATTACTACAGAGCATCCGCTGTGAGGAAGACAAACACTGGGCACCTTTGCCCCTGAGAGCAGACTGAGAGCGAGCTCTGGCTGAGTTTAGGTCTGTTCCACTTGAACAAAACCCAACACAAACAAACCCTCTTGGGATCTGGCAAAGTCCTCATCTGTTCTTGTTTCTTCTCCAGGCTTCCTTGTGCATTAAAAGAGCCTGTGCTTAAACCCACAGTAAGGGCCTCTGCTGGAAGCTGGAATGTGCTGTTTCCTGGAGCAAGAGAGAGGCCAAGCTGAGGGACAGCCTGGATCCAGATCCTCTGCACATTTTTTCACCCATAAATTCATTACTACATTGTCAACGGCCCCATCTCCAGGAGCACTATCATGCAACACCTCTTGAGGTGGGCTGGGGGCAGCCCTAGTCCTTCTAGCCCAAACTCTGCCAGGCGTACTCAAGGCTCAGTGAACACCAAAAGTTCTTTTCTTCTCCTTGCTCTCCCCTCTCATTATGACTGGTTGGCACTAGAAGAGGGAGCCTGCAGCTGTTCTCTCAGGGTTTCATTATTTAGCATCAATTTCTTTGACCAGGAGGTTCTTTGAGGTATAATGCATGCCTTTGGGCTTGACAGTTCCTTCAATAAGGGACCCAGAAGCCTAAAAGAGGTGAAGAAAACAAGGTCTCAAAAGGAAGAGGGCCTTGCACAAATTCAGAGCAGGGCTGGTTGAGAGGAACAGGGTCCTGAGTGTTTTCATTGAGCCTCAATCCAGGCAGACTTACCCTCCTCACTCACCAGCTCAGGGAATCATAAAGTGAGAGCTGCTCTGATTCATTTAGCCATGGAAGAGACCTGTAGGTAGAGGAGGAACTTTCAACCAGAAAATTTAATCCCTAGTATATGATTATGATTCTTCTGACCTTTCAGACTCCTCACACATGACTTGGGGAAGTGGGAGGAAGTCCCTCTATAGTGTGAATTTAACTCTTCTCTGCTTGTGGGCTCTGGGGGCCATGTGCATGACTAGGGTTGGGGTGGCAGGTTGCAAGCTCCAGACTCGCTAGTTTTATTTCTGCTTCCATTTGCTACAACACCCACCTCATGTCAATGTCCTTCCCTCTGCAAAAAAAGGCATATTTAAATTAAGTATATTCCTATTGGTAGGCCGAAAGTCCAGTGATGGCTCATGAAAGGATCCTGCTTCAGGCCTTGAAACCTGCTCAGTGTCTCTCCTTAATTTCCCCTCCTTCATGCTCCCTTCGTCCAGATTGAAGAGGGAAGTACAGGGGTATTAGAGACAGAGGACCTTTTAATATTCCCTTGTTCCACTGGTTTCTTACCCCATCCCCAGGACTCCTACTATCCTGAAGTATTAGGGTATCAGGCCCTGGCCAGGGACAGCTTGGGAGATGACATAATTGTCTTGCAAGCTTACTTCACCTTCAGAGTGATGGTGACCTCAACAGAGAGCTAGACATGTGTGGGGGGAGGTAGGGCAGCACCTGGAGGGGATAAGGGGGAATCCCTAGACCTACAGGGCTGGTCTTGGAAAGAGAAGAGGTCATGCCCCTTTCACAGCGAAAGACATGTGCAGGAAGGCTATGCAAAATTAAATAGGCATGGTAGGGCTCAGTGGCTCATCCCTGTAATCCCAGCACTCTGGGAGGCTGAGTTGGGTGGATCTCTTGAGCCCAGGAGTTCGAGACCAGCCTAGGCAACATGTCAAAACCCTGTCTCTACAAAACAAAACAAAAAAAGAAAACACATGCTGGGAGGCTGAGGTGGGCGGATCACAAGGTCAGGAGACCGAGACCATCCTGGCTAACATGGTGAAACCCCATCTGTACTAAAAATATGAAAAATTAGCCTGGTGTGGTGGTGGGCGCTTGTAGTCCCAGCTACTCAGGAGGCTGAGGCAGGAGAATGGCGTGAACCCAGGAGGTGGAGCTTGCAGTGAGCCGAGATCGCGCCACTGCACTCCAGCCTGGGTGACAGAGCAAGACTCCGTCTCAAAAAAAAAAAAAAAAAAAAAGACAAAAAACAAACAAACAACAACAACAAAAAACATTAGCTGGGCACGGTGGTACATGCCAGTAGTCCCAGCTACCCGGGAGGCTGAGGTGGGAGGATCACCTGAGCCTAGGAGGTGGAAGCTGTAGTGAGCAGTGATCATGCCATTACACTCCAGTCTGGGTGCCCGAGTGAGACCATGTCTCCAAATAACAACAACAACAACAACAATAAGTTAAATGGGCACAATGCCTTAAGGACACAGCATCCAGGCCTTTCAGACCCGGCACAAACAGGAGGAGCTCTCCAGGGTTCTGAACCACCTCCCCTTAAGTCCTTGGAGGCTCTGGGCAAGAGCCCTGCCTGCTGGTTAATGCCTATCTTAAATGCCACTGGCTCATCTCTGCCCATTGTTGATAGCAACTGCTTGCTTGGACCCATGGCCCGCATGAACTGAAGTAGCTCCTGCATGACTCCAATCTCTCTCTATGGCTGCAGCCTGGGCTTCATGCCAGCAGCCTAGCTGCCTGGCCAGATTTTCAAGGGGTGAGGCAGAGGATCTTGGTGTGTGTGTGAAAAAATATCTCCTAGTCCCTCTGGAAGCTCAGGATAAAATAGACCTGGCTTGGGGACAAAGTGGCCATAGGGGAGGAAGGGAATTCTCCATGTGATAAATCAACAGACAGCTCATCAGCTCCTCCCCTGCCCTCAGCAGCTGCTGCACACACACGGACACACACACAAACTCACACACGCATATACATGCATGCCAGATTCTCCTCCCTGTCACTGCAGAGCCTGTATTGCTGCAGAGAAGGTAGAGTCTCTTTTGTCTGCACTTGAGCAGAATGCACCTGCTTTGTTTCCCTCATAGATACCACAGAAATCTGGCAAAGAGCACCAAAACTTAAAACTTAAATTAAATAATTATTTCTTTTCCTAAATCCAAGAGGAGAGAGCTGGGTGTGGTGGTATATGCCTGTAGTCCCTGCTACCAGGAAGGCCCAAGTGGGAGGATTGCTTGAGTCCAGGAGTTTGACTCCAGGCTGGGCAACATATTGAGACCCCCTCTCTAAGAAAAGCTAATAAAAAATAAAAACATTTAAAAAAGAGGAATACATAGTCACTGTAAAAAGTCCAGATAAGCACAAAAGAAAAAGGAAAAAAATAAACTTACTCCTACTATCTAGAGCTATCCAGTGTTAACCTCCTGGCACACAGCCCGGGTCCTTGGGTGTATGTGCATGTGCATATGTGCACGCATGTGTGAATGTGTCAGTAAGAGGCAGTATAGTGCAGTGCTTAAAAGCATTGGTTTTAGAGTAAGTCCTATTTGTGCCATTTATTTATCTGTGTGATCTGGGTAAGTTTCTAATCTCTCTGGGTCTCAGTGTTTCATCTTTAGCATGAAGAAAATAATAGTACCTGTAGCTTCCAGCCTACATTCTGCAGCCACAGCCAGGAGATGGCAGGGGGCTTCCTTTTGGTCAAAGTTCTCTCTTCTTGAGCTTTGGGCCTCAGCTCTTTTGCCCACTTGTTCTGGCCATCACTTTCTGCCTTTGTGCCCAGGGGTGTACCATTCTTCTCCAGGGGCTCCTTATGTCAGTCAGTCCATTTGCCTGGCTTAGGCAAGCCTGCTCCTCACTGTGAGTCCTGGCAATTTGATTCTCACATCCACCACCCTCACCTCTTCCTACCTGCTCTACTTAACACTGTTCTCCCTGCAGTCAGCACTGAGCTCCTGGTTAAAAGCCAATGGCTTTTTCTCAGGTGATCTTCTACCACCTTGGGCATCACTGGACAGTGCTGACCACATTTTTCTGGAAGCTATTTTCCCTTGGCTTGCATGGAAACATTATATCTCTATCTGTTTTGACTGCCCTTCCTACTGTCCCTCCTCTTATACTGTAGACATAAGCGCCTTTCCCAGTGGTCAGTGATTCTCTTTCCACATGTTCTCTCTTCGCATCTCATATAAACATATTATTTCAAGTAACAGCTCTCTGGGCTTTACAATCCCAAGCCCATATCTCTAGCTCTGACCTCTCTCTCCAGACCCCATTTCCAACTGCGTACTATTTCCACTGGCGTCACGTTCCTCCCCCAGCCTCGTTCTGCCTTTTAACTATCTGTATCTTGTTATTGGCAAAACACTTTCCCAGTAAATAAACTCAAAAATGGGGCAGGGGCGGTGTGGGGTATCATTTTAAAAACAATTATTGAATTAGTTTTAAAAATTATTTAAAGAGATAGTGTCTCACAATGTTGCCCACACTAGTCTTGAACTCCTGGCCTCAAGGGATCCTCCTGCCTCAACCTCCTGAATTGCTGGGATTATAGGCATGAGCCACTATGCCTGGCTTATTATTGAAATAATTTTGCATTTACGGAAGAGTTACAAAGAAAGTCCAGAGAGTCTTTGTATTCACTTCATATATAAAAAATTGGAATCCTTCTGAAAGAAATATTTGTCCTTTCTCCTCCATTTACTTATTTATTCAATCATGTATTTATATCAGTATGGATTAATGTATACTTATTTTGGGAGGTTATAATCCAATATTATCATATTTGTTTTGTTGCTCAAATGTTTCCAGCTTTGGCCATTGAGAACACTTTCAGGTTGGCTCCTGTTTTAACCTCCCTGTGGGCTCATTTTGATCTACTTCTTCCTCCTTTATCTCTATGGGAAACTAATCATGAACCTAGAAGGTTCTGCAGAATATCTAATGTTTATCTTTAAAAAAAATTATCAGCCAACAACCTGCTTCAGGCCCTTCTCAGCATATTCCAGGATCACTGCAGTAGTAACCCACTCATCTCCCCACCTTGTCTCCTCTTCCTCCAACTCATCTTGTATATTACTGTTAAAAGACTCTTCTGAGAATTAAACACTGCTCTTATTGCAGTACTCCTTTGCTCAAGACCTTCTGATAGCTCCTACCACTTAAAAACTCCTCAACCTGACATCCAATAAGTTTTAAAAACATGACCCCAGTTTGCCAATCTGGCTGCTCCTCCAACTGCCATCTTTCTAAATCCTTTGATCTCTTTGCCCTAACTGTCAGCCCTCTATGCAGATGACTTCCAATTTCTATATCCAGACTGACTGTATCATTTTAAGCCATTAAAAAAAATCTGTATTGGTTTCCTTAACTTATAAAGGTAATGCATATTCAATGGGGAAAGTAACACAATACAGAAGTGAATCAAGTAGGAAATAAGCCTCCGACTCTCCTCTGCCCTCCCCGTTGCTCAGGTTGGTTTTAAGAATGAAGTGGCCTCGGCCGGGCGCGGTGGCTCATGCCTGTAATCCCAGCACTTTGGGAGGCCGAGGCGGGCGGATCACAAGGTCAGGAGATCAAGACCATCCTGGCTAACACGGTGAAACCCCGTCTCTACTAAAAATACAAAAAATTAGCTGGGTGTGGTGGCGGGCGTCTGTAGTCCCAGCTACTCGGGAGGCTGAGGCAGGAGAATGGCGTGAACCCGGGAGGCGGAGCTTGCAGTGAGCCAAGATCGCGCCACTGCACTCCAGCCTGGGCAACAGAGCTAGACTCCGTCTCAAAAAAAAAAAAAAAAAAAAAAAAAAGAATGAAGTGGCCTCTCCAGATTCTTCAGTATCTCTCCAATCTTCCTATTAAATTGCTATACCACAGTAAACAGATTTAGAGACATGCTTCTTGACATAAGAGTTTACAATACAAATCAGAAAAGGTTAAATTCAGAAAATATAGATATTTATTTTTATATTGCAACTTAAAATTTCAAGGCTTTTTCCTCATTTTATTTCATTTAATCTCTGATAATCCATCTATCATTTATCTCAATTTTACAGAGAAAAAGAATCTGAAGCCCTATAAAGCTGAGTAACTCCCCTGAAGTCCCATATCCAGAACTGGGCCCCAAGTTTCCTGGTCCCTTTCCTACTTTACCACATAAAATGGCCATACAGAAAACGATAACACAACAAGAGACAACACTAATGGGAGGAAGGCCAGAAGCCAAAGAGAACCATCCAGAACATTCAAATATTAGTGATCATAGTTTTACCTTGGGGAATGTGAGAGTAAATTTGTCCCCTTGCTTTCCTTTTCTTATATGGTGAAAGTGGAACTGTAGGAGATCTCTCAACAGGGAGTAAGAAACAGGAAGGTATCTGCTCAATGTTGATGGTTTTCTTTCTTTCTTTCTTTTTTTTTGAGACAGAGTCTCACTCTGTCACCCAGACTGGAGTGCAGTGGTGGGATCTCAGTTCACTGTAACCTCCACCTCCTGGGCTCAAGTGATCCTCCTGCCTCAGCCTCCCAAGTAGCTGGGACTACAGGCATGTGCCACCACATCTGGCTAACTTTTTGTATTTTTGGTGGAGATGGGGTTTCACTATGTTGGCCAGGCTGGTCTTGAACTCCTGAGCTCAAGTGATCTGCCTGCCTCAGCCTCCCAAAGTACTGGGATTACAGGCCTGAGCCACTGTGCCTGGCCAGTGTTGATGATTTTCTGTTTCCAAAGAAATGCCCTGCCTCCTAGAAGCTACAGGGCTCTGTAGAACTTGAGAAGGAATTGGGAAGATGTGAGTCAAGTGTGGCATGTCAAAGCTGGGGTGCATAGCAGGAACAAGATTGTTTAGACAAGTGACACACAGGTCTCTGGCAGCATTTCCACACTCAATTCATCTTACCCCCTTTTGGTATGCATACCCAATTTAAAAATATGGAAAGCATGAGCTCTATCACCTGGGAAAAAATGATAGAGTCAAAGATCATGATTTTTGACCATTTGTTTCCCCAAATAGAAAAAAATTCAAAGAAAAAGGTGATGCTGTTTTGTCATAACAAATTCAAATGCAAAAAGGTGAATACAGAACATGAAAGTTCTCCTATAATTCATTACTGTTGCCAGTTTATTTTATACTTCCAGACTTTAAAGATATGTAATCATATATACCAATTTAAACATACATGGAATCAGATGATCCATCTTCCATATGTATTTTACTCAGTAACTTTTGTGTTATGTGCGCTTTACCACAATGAAATGCATCTATCATGAATATCTTTTTATGTCAATTCATATTAGATTTACATCCTCCTTTTAAAAGGCTGCCCATATGTATGCTATGGGATGGAGGTACCATGATTTATTAAATCAGTCCTCCCTGATGGAGGTTTAGATTGCTTTTTTTTTTGAGATGGAGTCTCACTGTATCACCCAGGCTGGAGTGCAATGGCATGATCTCGGCTCACTGCAACCCCTGCCTTCTGGGTTCAAGCGATTCTCCTGCCTCAGACTCCCAAGTTGCTGGGATTACAAGTGCCCACCACCACACCTGGCTCATTTTGTATTTTTAGTAGAGATAGGGTTTCACCATGTTGATCAGGCTGGTCTCAATCTCCTGACCTCAGGTGATCTACCTGCCTTGGCCTCCCAATGTGCTGGGATTACAGGCATGAGCTGCCGTGCCCAGCCTAGATTGCTCTTTTCTCACCTTTTTCTCACTATTATAATGTTGCAGCTACTAATAACTATTATAATATCTATTATAACTATTATAATGTTATTATAAAATTATGTATGTGTATTTATTTATAATTATTATAATTTCTGGGATTTTTTTGGGTTTTTTTTGAGACAAGGTCTCACTCTGTCACTCAAGCTGGAGTGTAGTGGCAACCACAGCTCACTGCAGCCTTGACCTCCTGGGTTCAAGTGATCCTCCCACCTCAGCCTCCCAAGCAGCTGGGACTACAGGCACATGCCACCATGCCTGGCTATTTAAAAAAAAATTTTTGTAGAGATGGGGTCTTGCTTTGTTGCCCAGACTGGTCTCAAACTCCTGGGTTCAAGCAATCCTCCCACCTCGGCCTCCCAAAGTGCTGGGATTATAGGTGTGAGCCACAGAGCCTGGCCTATGATAATTTCTTATTAAAGAAAGTCTTTATATGTTTGTCTATTTCTTTAAGAAAGTCCTAGAAGTAGAATAGCTGAGGGGGTCAATGGGAAATGTACACATTATATTTTGAGACACTGTTGCCAGTTATTGTTCCAGAGAGGCTGTGACAATGTATACTCTCACCAACTGGCTGTGGTAAGTACTTGGGTTTTGAATTTAGAAAGACCTAGATTAGTTCTCAAGCCACCTCGTTGTATGACTTTTGGCAAGTTACCTTTCTTAATGTCCCTTTCCTTTCATGGGTGTCATATTACCTACTTTGCAAGGCTGGTGTTAGAATGAGATGAAATAATGTATATAGAACACTTTGCAGCATGCCTGGCATGAACAACAAAGGGTAGCTGGTTTTTGTTTGTTTGTTTTTATGTTGCTCTCTCCTCATTTACTTTTTGTTTCCATCTAGTCTAAAGTATTCATCAGTCCTAATTTCCCTGCCACCAAAAGGAACTTGGGATGTGGACTAACTTGAGTTATGAGAACCAGCAGCAAGAGGCGTTGCCCTCTTAATGGGTTTGCACTTCCCAGGAAAGCCTTGAAGCCAATTTCCGGGGCTCTATCTTTCATGAGGAAATTGCAAGAAGACAAACACTACTCTCTCTCTCTCAATTATCTTGACTAGGATCTTAATCAGGTCATGCTTACTCTCCAGGACACTGCCGGATCAGGCCATTTCAACAGCTGGCCCTTCTCTTTAAAACAGGACACTACGTTATGATCTGGAGGCTACAAAGGATCCATGGAAACAGATGGGGTGAGAGACCCTGAGACATATATACCCTGGAACCCTGGGGAGTCCTGGTTGAATTCCATCCCCAGTGTCCTTCCACAGCCAGGGCCAAATGTGGAGCGCTAGAACTGAAGCGTGGCTTCTTGGGGCTTTCAGTTCTAGAATATACCGACTTAAGAGTTGAATTAACCAGGGCCTAGTGACAATGCTCCAAAATGCCAAAAGGGGGCAGTGCAGTGTTACAGTTAAGAGCATGGCCTTAAAGACTCCATACACCTGGGCTTGAAATGGTTTTGCCACTTACTAGGTTGTGTGACCTTGGGTCTCACTTTCCTTCTCTGTAGATTAAGGGTATACCTTCTTTGCAGAGTTGAGAAGATTAAATGAAACACTGTGTGTCTGGTGGCAGATAAGTAGTAAGTGCTTCTGAGAGGTGACAGCGTGCTGGCAGTCCTCACAGCCCTCGGTCGCTCTCAGCGCCTCCTCTGCCTGGGCTCCTACTTTGGTGGCATTTGAGGAGCCCTTCAGCCCACCGCTGCACCGTGGGAGCCCCTTTCTGGGCTGGCCAAGGCCAGAGCCGGCTCCCTCAGCTTGCAGGGAGGTGTGGAGGGAGAGGCGCGAGCGGGAACCCGGGCTGCGCGTGGCGCTTGCGGGCCACCTGGAGTTCCGAGTGGGCGTGGGCTTGGCGGGCCCCGCACTCGGAGCAGCCGGCTGGCCCTGCCGGCCAGGGGCAATGAGGGGCTTAGCACCCGGGCCAGTGGCTACGGAGGGTGTACTGGGTCCCACAGCAGTGCCAGCCCACGGGCGCTGTGCTCGATTTCTCACCAAGCCTTAGCTGCCTTCCTGCGGGGCAGGGCTCGGGACCTGCAGCCCGCCATGCTTGAGCCTCCCACCCCTCCATGGGCTCCTGTGCGGCCATGAGCCTCCCCAGTGAGGCCTGTGCCTCCCCAATGAGCGCCACCCCCTGCTCCACGGCGCCCAGTCCCATCGACCACACAAGGGCTGAGGAGTGCGGGCGCATGGCACCGGGACTGGCAGGCAGCTCCACCTGCAGCACCGGTGCGGGATCCACTGGGTGAAGCCAGCTGGGTTCCTGAGTCTGGTGGGGAGGTGGAGAACCTTTATGTCTAGCTCAGGGATTGTAACTACACCAATCAGCACCCTGTGTCTAGCTCAGGGTTTGTGAATGCACCAATGGACACTCTGTATCTATCTACTCTGGTGGGGCCTTGGAGAACCTTTATGTCTAGCTCAGGGATTGTAAATACACCAATCGGCACTCTGTATCTAGCTCAAGGTTTATAAACAAACCAATCAGAAGCATGTGTCTAGCTCAGGGTTTGTGAATGCACCAATCAACACTGCGTATCTAGCTACTCTGGTGGAGCCTTGGAGAACCTTTGTGTCTAGCTCAGGGATTGTAAACGCACCAATCAGTGCCCTGTCAAAACAGACCACTGGGCTCTACCAATCAGCAGGATGTGGGTGGGGCCAGATAAGAGAATAAAAGCAGGCTGCCCAAGCCAGCAGTGGCAACCCGCTCAGGTCCCCATCCACACTGTGGAAGCTTTGTTCTTTTGCTCTTTGCAATAAATCTTGCTACTGCTCATTCTTTGGGTCCACACTGCTTTTATGAGGTGTAACACTCACCGCGAAGGTCTGCAGCTTCACTCCTGAAACCAGCGAGACCACGAGCCCACCGGGAGGAACGAACAACTCCAGAGGCGCTGCCTTAAGAGCTGTAACACTCACCGCGAAGGTCTGCAGCTTCACTCCTGAGCCAGCGAGACCACGAACCCACCAGAAGGAAGAAACTCCGAACACATCTGAACGTCAGAAGGAACACACTCCGGACACGCCGCCTTTAAGAACTGTAACACTCACCGCGAGGGTCCGCGGCTTTATTCTTGAAGTCAGTGAGACCAAGAACCCACCAATTCCGGACACACTTCTAAACAGTAGGACACACGTCTGCAGGGTATATGGTTGAATGTCAGATACGACATGGGGTTACCAAGTAAATGAGACTAGAAGACAATTCATTCAGTCATTCATTCATTCAACCAAAAGCTATTTAGTGAATGTCCATTATGTGAAGGCACAGGAGACAAATGGTAAGTAAAAATGAATCTGGTTTCATGCAACATCCTTCAAAAGGACCCACGTTAATAGACTAATTTTACATACTTACGTAAAATTATAAATGTGAAAAGTGCAATAAGGGGAAGACTACTGACCAAGTCTAGGGATTGTCCTCTGTGATGAAACTATAGCTGAACTAAGAACTGAAAGATGAGTAGGAGTCAACAACAAAAAAAAGGTAGAAGGTGCAGCAAAAGCATTCCAGGCAGCAAGAACATTATGCGCAAAGGCCCTCAAGCAGAAGGGAGCCTGGGACATTAGAGAAGTGGAGGAAAAGCCAGTGATGCTGAATGTAGTGACTGGGGGTAATGTGATATGAGATAAGCTGAAGAGGAAGGCAGGAGCCAGATCACATGTTAGGGTTATACTAAGGATTTGAGTCTTTATAATAAGAACGAGTGGAAGCCGTTGAAGTGTAAGGGGCTACACGGGGCACTCCTGCTACTTGATGACACTTTCCTCTGATGTTTACTTTCATGTGGATAAAAGGGATAGGGCTTCACACAGTCCCTTCTGTGACCGCCCAGGAGAAGGGAGCAAAGAAGTAATCAGCAACAGGTCCCTTCCCAAAACAGAATGAGGCCCTCTGGATTCTCATAGCCTCAGGAAGAACTAGACATAAGGAGGAGTGTGGGCAGGGTATCCAAGGCTGTGAGGCTCTTATCAGGAATCCTGTACTGGGTGGTCAGCTGTCACTGCAGACCCCTATGTTTTCTAGCTGTTGCACAGCTGGTCCCTAGCTAGCCTCCACCTCTCAGACTTCCTGCTCCATCAGATGCTCCATTGTGTTGGACATAATTATCTGGGGACTAACAGCTGTTAGGCTGGGTAGTAGAAGTTGAAGACTCCCATGGGCAGGGAACCAGACCTAAGGGTGGGTACAGGTTTGCAAGAGGCAGCTCTCAACTTCTGTGTGCTTCTCTGGTGAGCTGGCTTGCAGTGCCCTCAGTGCATGTACTGTATTTGTCTGGGGCACATGTACACTCCTCTGTGAGGAGAGACAATAGGGGTGGAGATACTGGGGCAACACAGAAATGCCAAAGTACCAGAAGGTAGTGATGTGTTCCAGCCCTCACAGGTTTTTTTTTCTTAATAAAAAAAAACAATTTTTGGCCAGGCGTGGTGGCTCACGCCTGTAATCCCAGCACTTTGGAAGGCCGAGGCGGGCGGATCACGAGGTCAGGAGATCGAGACCATCCTGGCTAACACGGTGAAACCCCGTCTCTACTAAAAATACAAAAAATTAGCCGGGCATGGTGGCGGGCGCCTGTAGTCCCAGCTACTCGGGAGGCTGAGGCAGGAGAATGGCATGAACCCGGGAGGCGGAGCTTGCAAGTGAGCCGAGATCGCGCCACTGCCCTCCAGCCTGGGCGACAGAGTGAGACTCGGTCTCAAAAAAAAAAAAAAAAAATTTTTAAAGAAATGTTATCTTACTATGTTGCCCAGGCTAGAGTGCAGTGGCTATTCACAGGCCTGATCGTATAGCACTTAGAGCCTTTAACTCCTGGGCTCAAGTGATCCTCCTTGAGCCTCTCGAGTAGCTGGGACTCCAGGCTTAATGCCACCACACCTGACTCTCACATAGGTTTTTAAACTTGGCTGGAAAGAGAAAAGGACCTAAGAGTTCTAGAATTGCCTGCCCCATCCCTTCCCCCAACCTCTCCCGGCTTGTAGCCCAGCTAAACAGGAAACCAGGTTTGGGTCCTTGCCAGAGCCCAGGCTGGGGCAGGAAGCTCAGGAAACAAGTAAGACCCTCCTCAGCATAGAAGAAGGCTGCTAAGAAATCTGTGGGAAGCAAAAATAAACCCAGCCCTTGCTGAACTCTCTCCCAGAGGAGGAAAAGACCACAGTTGCTTCTACTCCCTAGTATGAGTCAAGCATAGTCCTAGGAAGATTCAGAGAGCAGATGCAGGAGCTTCATGAAGTGAGATACTGCTGTTCCAGTGAGAACACACTCAGTAAGGACCCTCCTCTCAGAGAAGCACAGGGCTTAGTGAAGCAGGGTGGGATACATGTGGTCTGAAGACACTCCAGGGCTATCTTGGGCTGATAAGGAAGCAAATGATGGTACAGGATAAGAGCAGTGGTGGAAGAAGCAGACCTAAAGGAGAGAGGGCCCGAGACCAGGTGATACCTGTGGGGGTATGAAGGCAGAGAATTAACAGGGTTCTTTGCTGTACAAATGTGAAGGAAATTCCTGATGGAATAATGAATCAAGGCAATGACAGTCAAGGGCTGTAAAAACATTAGGTGAAAGGCTGAAGGGGGCTTTTATTTATTTTTTATTTTTGAGACAGGGTCTCGCTCTGTTACCCAGGCTGGAGTACAGTGGCACGATCATGGCTCACTGCAGCCTCGACCTCCTGGGCTCAAGCAATCCTCCTGCCTGCCAAGTAGCTAGGACTACAGGTGCATGCCACGATGCCTAATTTTTGTATTATTTTTGTATGGGGATGGGGTCTCACTATGTTGCCCAGACTGGTTTCGAACTCCTGGCCTCAAGTGATCCTCCTGCCTTGGCCACCCAAAGTGCTGAATTACAGGCCACTATGCCTAGCCAACTTTTATAGTGGAGAGATCAGGCTAACTACACCACAAAAAATAGGATAAACATATGTTATGTGCTTCCTGGTATGAAATACATACACATCACACCTCAAAAGGTAAACTGTGGCATACACATCACACCTCAGAAGGATTCTTTACAAAAAGTTGAATTTAAGTCTGATCAAACCTTGAGATCTAACTACCAATTTGCAAAAATACAGGAGACAGAATAGGATAAAAAACAACACAAGAATGCAGTCAACAAAATCCAGATTGTGGGAAACTCTATAGGACAAAGGACTGAACTTTTTATTTGTTTTTGTTTTTGTGTTTTAACAAATAAATTGCAAGAAAAGAAAAAATGGTGGGAGAAACTACAGATTAAAAGAGACATATCAGGCCAGGCATGGCGGCTCACGCCTGTAATCCCAGCACTTCGGGAGCCTGCGGCAGGTGGATCACCTGAGGTCAGGGGTTTGAGACCAGCCTGGAAAACATGGCAAAACTCTGTCTCTACTGAAAATATGAAAATTAGGCGGGCATGATAGCACGTGCCTGTAATCCCAGCTACTCAGGAAGCTGAGGCAGGAGAATTGCTTGAACCTGGGAGGCAAAGGTTGTAGTAGGCCGAGATCACGCCACTGCACTCCAGCCTGGGTGACAGAGACAGACTCCGTCTCAAAAAAAAAAAACAAAAAAAAAGAGACATGTCAACCAAATGCAATGTGTGAGCCAGATTCAAACCAACCAACCAATTTTTAAGATGTTAAGGAATTAAAGGATTTTTAGGGGTGATAATGGTATTTATGTTAAAGATAGTAATGGTGTGATAATGGTAGTTATGTAGAAAATTATCATTTTTAGAGATAGTATAATGTTATAGATGATTATTCACCCATACCCCACCTACTGGATTATCTTGAATATTAAATTATTAAATTTAATTCAAATATTCAAACATTAAATTAAATCGATATTCAAATATTAAATTATTCAAGATAATCCAGTAGGTGGGGTATGGGTGAAATAAGATTAGCCTTGTGTTGATAGCTGTTGAAGTTGGGTGACAAGTACTAGGGGGTATGTGTTTGAAGATTTCCAGGGCAAACCATTAAAAAATGTGAAGGAAGTGAGCAATCTGGATCTGCCTCCTCTAGCCCACTGACATTGGGGAGAATAATAGCAATGTTGACTTTTTCATATGTTTCGTGAGCCCTGAAAATTGACCTTCGGGAACCGAAACAGCAGTAGGACACCCTCCACTATCACCAATGGTGGGGATCTCCAGGAAGGCCCACTCTGCTAACAGACTCAGCCGCCCTCTACACGTCCCCCAGCCCAGCCCCACTCAATGGGAATCTCTTCCAGAGATCAGTGAAAGCACAGAGCAGGTCCTTCTCCAGCCTGGCCTCACCACAGCCCTGTCAAGGAGGCCAAAGACTCTTCTCATTTGGTGATGAGAAGAATAACCCATCTCCTCACTCTCTCCCACAAAAGTTCCCTTGGGAATTACAGACAGAAAAAGAAAATCAGCAACCCTTTCATTATCATCAACCCTTAGACCAGAAATAATATAGTAATTTGCAGCTCATTTTCACATACATGATCTTATTTATTTTACAAATGCCTGAAAGCGGTTAGGAGGCTGGCCAAAGGTCATAACAAAAGTGATAGTAGCTAGGATATACCCAGCCTACTTACCACTGCTGTGCACAGCTCCTGCCCTCAGGCCCGTGCCCCCCACTGGCTTATCCTAATTTCCCCACCCCCTCAAGCATACTCAAACCAATTCCTCCTGTGGGAGCTTCCTGTGACTGTCTCTCTGCTGTATCAGAGCCCATGGCAAATGAAGGATGTGAAATATGAGATTCCATCAGGAAGTTGATAGGGAGGCTAACAGATGGTCAAATCTTGGTTCTGACTGGTTCCCTTTGGTACCAATGTCTGCTACATTAAATACCAACCCTCAACTTGGTCTCCCTCCCTGACTCCACATAATTCTCCCTCCCCTTCCCTAAACCACTAGCTACTACCACTTCCCCATATCATTATCCCCACTTGGCCTTTCACTGAGTCCTCTAGGCCAGAGCTGGATGCAGCATGTCAGCTGAGAGCAGAGAGGACTTTCTGGAAGCTAAAATCCTCAGGGAACAGCTTTGGCATTCATAGGAGAACCAGTGGAGGCCCCTTTCACCAGCTGCTGCAATTTGCCTGCCAATGTGGCTACTGGCTTTCCCACCAGAGGCAAGTCTGTCCCCAGAGAGAATGACCTATACATTTGGGTTTTGTGGTAAGGAGAAACCTATGCCTGATACACCAAGAACAGGACATCCAGGCTGGCACTCTTCCTTTCCTCCAAGATCCCCAGAGACTTTCTCCATTTCCAGGAGGATGTGTACAGGTCATATAATGTTGGAAGACTCAGGTAGGAGCTCTTCATCAGCAAAACTAAGTTTTTTCCTCATTAAATATTAAAGCTTACAACTCCATTAATAGCTTCTCCAGCCCCCACAACAAAGCTGACGGCACAGTTATCAGCTCTGCTACCAATGGGAGAGGGGCTGGATTGGCCTTCTTACATTATTCTACGTCCCTTACTTCTGAAAATGTACCTAATGCTGCAAAGGGAGAAGATGGGAAAAGGCCAATTTGTAAGGAACTCAGATTGCTAACTCAGCTAGGGACCCCTGCCCACTGGGGAGCCAGGAGCACGTCACTCCTTGTAAGAACAAAATCCTTCTCATCCTGTGGTCTGAGTTCAAACATCACTTTCTCATAGCAGCCTTACCTGACATCCACAAGAGAATAATTTATTATTCTCTCTTTTCCTACTGCATTTCTTGCCTTTTCTATCACTTGTCATAGTTGGTAATTGTGTTTGTGCACTTTGTTTAGTATCTGTCTCTCCTACTGGATTGCCAGCTTATGAAGGTAGGTACCATGTTTGCTTTATTCATCATTTTACTTCCTATGTTTGGCTCAGTGTCTTGCATATAGCAGATGCTCAAAAGATGTTATTTGAATAATGAATGAATGTCCCATCCCTGTATTCCCCTGAATCTCCCTTAATTCCCCAACATGTGGCTTCCACTCTACTAATTCTCACCTACTCATCCCCCTCTAGGTCTTTGCTGTTCCCCTCCTTAGAATAACCTCCCAACCTCCTCTCCTTTCCACTCTTACTCATCTTTAAAGGAGCCAGCTGTATTCTTCTGTAGTTCTGTTTCATAAGAGCAAGTATCTTCTTCACCAGTCTGTAAGTTCTAGAGGTAGAAGCTATCTTGTCAAGGAGATCAAAGGGGAGTTGGGGTGACAAGACTCACAGCACATTAAAGTGGACACCCTAAACCAGAATATCATTTGTATAAAATTATGTGCTAGAGGTTATAGAGGCTTAGGGATTGGTTAAGAGCTCACTAGAATATTCAGGGAAAGCTCTCTGAAGAATGGGAGTTTATATTGATCTCTGAAGAATGTGTATGAGTGAAATGGGCAGAAGAGAATTGTTAAGAGGAGAGGAGGCCTCAAGGTGCCAATAGGTGAAAGAAGGTGAAGGACATGGCTGGACTTACTAGAAAGAAAGTTGGCTTGAATGGTAGCAAGTATGGCCAGCTTTGAGGGGTAAAAGCCTAGTGTAGATGCCTCAAAAGCCAGTGGAGAAGTTCAAGCCTGATGTAGAAGAACTTAATTGGGTTCCAAGTTGCGAAGGAGGGTCTAATCTAGGCCACGCCAACCTCCAGCTGGGTAGTGGCTAAGCCTGTTTACCTTTCTGGGAGTCTGCTTGCAGATCTATAAAGTGGGCAAAATGATTTTCCTAATCTGCTTAATGAGATGGTTCAGGTGCTTTGGAAACATCTTTTCACCTACCTTAAAAAGGAATTAAAGATAGGCTGGGTGCAGTGGCTCATGCCTGTAATCCCAGCACTTTGGGAGTCCGAGGCAAGAAGATCACTTGAAGTCAGGAGTTTAAGACCAGCCTAGCCAACATGGTGAAACCATCTCTACTAAAAATACAAAAATTAGCTGGGTGTGGTGGTGTGCACCTGTACTCTCAGCTACTCGGAAGGCTGAGGCAGAAGAATTGCTTGAACCTGGGAGGCAGAGGCTGCAGTGAGCCAAGATTGTGCCACTGCACTCCAGCCTGGGCAACAGAGCGAGACTCTGTCTCAAAAAAAAAAAAAAAATGCGGGGCGGGGGGAATTAAAGATAGGGATAAGACACTGTACCCATAAACTTTACACAATGACAAGGTATTAGGGCCACAGGACAGGTAAATGGAGAGCTCACATCTCACTGAAGGATAGAAAGGGATGCATGAAGAAGATGGTGCTTTTGTGACAGGCCTTGATATATACAAAACATTAGCAAACACCTATTCTCAGAAAACTAGAAAAGTGCTGCTTGTGCTAAGTTCCACAGTGGATTCTTGGACACGTTTATAGTACACACACATAACAGAGCCATGTTTACTGCTAGAATATTATTCCTAGCACCTACTTTGGAAGGACTAGGACATTTGCACAGAGCAGTGTGTCTTCCTGGTGCCCTGGCCTCTGGCCCAGTTTAAGAACTGATACCATAGAGAATGTGAGGTAAGAACACATTCACATTCCCACCATGGCTCTGGTTCTCCCTGTGAAGCTACAGATAACATGAAGACTATCCTCCTTTTCTTTCCTAATCCCAGTCCTTTAGGTATTTGAAAACCTCAAAATGCTTTCTCTGAGACTGCTTATTCATAGGCCAAACAGCTCAGTTCTTCTAACTATTCTCACATGACATGCTTTTGACTCCTTTCATTATTCTAGTCACCCAATCTCTTGAATGATGATATCAGTACAGAATGGAGGACTTCAGATGGTGATGACCACTACAGAATAGGGCAGAGTAGGATGATTACCTCCTAGGAACTGAATTCCATGCTTCTATTAATGTAGTCCAACAGCACATTAGCTTTGTTATATAGTGGACTTATATTAAGCTTTCTGTCCACTCAAGCACTAGCTCGCTTTAAAGGTCCCTACCTTCTCCAATCACACAGCCTCCCTAGATTCCTATTGAAATTCTGTCTTGCTGAATTCAGCCAGCTACCTTTCTGAGAATAAGAGTCACATGACACACATGTAGTGTAGTTTCTAACAAATGTGGAACCATCATCTCACTATCCTCAGTGGACTCTTAACCTGTATTGGCAGTAAGCCTAGCTCAAGATGTGATTCCAGGTTCTTGCCTTGATTTTACACTGCTAAGGGAAAGGGCTGCTCTGTTCCAGATATGTTCTGAGTTCAATATAACAATAGGTATGGTTATTAAATATGATCATGGAAGCTCAACTGACAATAATAGAAGTACAATATCAATATTATGGGTAGTGGCAGTCCCACAATAATCTGTGCTGTGCAGATCACATGTACAGCTCTGTGTTCAGTTTCAGGGGTGAGAAACCTAAAAGTATCCACTAGGGCAGCTAGGATGACTGCGAATTTGGAAGCCAGTGTCCCGGGAAATGGTAAAAGGAAAAAGCAGGCCTATTTAGCCTGGGTAAACAAAAGAGCGCTAAGGCTGTATAACCTATAATAGGGCCTTTCCTCGCCAGTGACTTCTGGCTTATGGGTCTCTTCTTGTAGCCTATTCCTTCTTGCTTCTTTGGTCAAGGGCTTATAATTTCATATTAAGTGTGGCCAACCACTCATATGAAATTCATGAGATCTTTTCCTGAATCTGCTTCTTTCCCCCTCTTATCTGCTCAGCAGAGTCCAGGTTACTCCCTCTCACCTGGCCTATTTATTTCAAAAGGATTTTAAACTTTATATTAATTCAATACTTCAGAAACCAGTGCTGAAGATCAAGTAGAAAAAAACAGTTTTCTTCATTTTTTTTTTTTTAAGACAGGGTCTTGCTTTGTTGCCTAGGCTAGAGTGTAATAGTGCAATTATAGCTCATTGCAGCCTCGAACTCCCGGGCTCAAGCCATCCTCCCACCTCAGCCTCCCTAATGGCTAGGACTACAGGCATGCATCATCATGCCTGGCTACTTTTTAATTTTTTGTAGAGACAGGGTCTCACTATGTTGCCCAGGCTGGTCTCGAATTGATGGCCTTAAGCAATCCTCCCGCCTTGGCCTCTCTAAGCACTGGGATTACAGGCATGAGCCACTGCACCTGGCCCCTTTATTCATTTCTTAAGGAGCCATATGATAAGACTTTAGCCCCTCAGTGAAACAGATTGCTTGGCTGGCTAACATCCCCAAGAGTTCCCCTTTCCTGTGTTCTTTGCCCAAGATAACTATGATGATTCAGGGCCGCTGGGATGGCAACCAGAATACTAGAACTGTTGTTCCCCCTGCTGAAGACCATAGCAGACATGGAAAATCAACCAAACCATGTCAGTCTTTCATATGGAACCAGGAGTCCACCTTAGCATCCATCTTAACACAATGCTCCAGGCAGCAACTACTGATCAAGGGGCATTGGCATGAAGGGTAATGCCTGTTTATCATCCATGCTTTATGTAGCCTGTGGAGTAGGAGGGTATAAAATAATTATGCAGGAATGTTTCTTGAGCTGTTGTGAACAGTGAGAACATTTATTGATACTGCAGAGGAAGTACTGAAACATCCCCTAATCGGGGAATCCACTTTTCACCTTAAATCTCAATTGAGATGGGATTCTTCCTGATAAAAGATTTGGATTATCTTTATCTTCTCTACTGCTTGGCAGAACATAAAAGCATAGAGCACAGCCCAAGGTAAAAATGAGAAATAGAACTAGGCCATGGTGGGAGCTAAGCTATGAGGACACAAAGGCATAAGAATGATATAATGGACTCTGGGGACTCACAGGGGAAGGGTGGGAGAAGGATGAGGGATAAAAGACTACATGTTGGGTACATTGTACACTGTTTGGGTGACAGGTGCACCAAAATCTCAGAAATTACTACCAAAGAACTTATCCACATAACCAAAAACCACCTGTTCCCCAAAAACTATCGGAAAAAAAAAAAAAACCTCAGCCATGGGATAGCCACACTGGTTTAAAAGTAAAGTACTAGCTGGGTGCAGTGGCTCACACCTGTAATCTTAGCACTTTGGGAGGACATGGCAGGTGGATCTCTTGAGCCCAGGAATTTGAGACCAACCTGGGCAACATGGCGAAACCCCATCTCTACCAGAAAAAAACAAAAATTAGCTGGGCATGGTGGTGCACACCTGTAGTCCTAGTTACTTGGGAGGCTGAGGTGGGAGGATCACCTGAGCTGGGGAAGGTCAAGGCTGTAGGAGACAGAGTGAAACTGTGTCTCAAAAAACAGTAAAGTACTAAATGGCTAGTGTATACAATATATAAATTATATCTCAATAAAGTTGTCCAAAAAAAATAAGGATCAAACCAGCATTTGGTAGAGGGACATAAGGGAAATAAAACTCCCTTAGAAATATTATGAGAAAAACAAGGCACTTGGTATTTGCCTGTGCACCTAACCAAAGTTCACCAAGAGCTTCCTACTAATAGCAAGTTCAGACCCTGAAACAAATCAGCAACATCCCATTAGACACTAACTAGCATAGGGCAAAATGGTGTGGGTTATAAAAGACATTTAAAAGAACTAGGAAGACTATAAATCTAGACTGGATCAGCACAGATACTAATTTCTAAGCTAAAGTTTTCCAAAGAGTATTTCCCATGAAACACATTGGTTCTGTAAGATGTTAACAGATGTAACATGAAAAAAGGTTCTATAGTTAAATAAGCTTGGGAAACACTGAATTAAACAAAGTTGAAAAGGTTCCTTTACTGCAGGATATCTCAGAGTCTTTAAAACGTCAGTGGGCATTGTGATGGGATAGAGCATATAGTCTTTCCCAAAGAAATTTTTCTACGGAGACTTTTTCCCTCATGAAGCATCCCAAAGGATCAATATTCCTAACAGAATACTATAGGAAATGCTGGTCTAAACCGTGCATGGTGCGTGGCCAAGGGCTTCACCAATTCCTTCATAAGGATAAAATGGGAAATTAATATGGGAACTAGGTCGGGCGTGGTGGCTTACACCTGTAATCCCAGCACTTTGGGAGGCCAAGGTGAATAGATCGCTTGAGCTCAGGAGTTTGAGACCAGTCTAGGCAACATGGCGAAACCCCTTCTCTACAAAAAATACAAAAAATTAGCTGGGTATGGTGGCGCGTGAATGTAGTCCCAGCTACTCAGGAGGCTGAGGCAGGAGGATCGCTTGAGCCTGGGAGGCGGAGTTTGCAGTGAGCCAAGATTAAGCCACTGTACTCCAGCCTCGGTGACAGAGACCCTGTCTCAAAAAAAAAAAAAAAGTGGGGGGAACTATAATTTATACCTTGTACATAATTATGTTTATGTGGTGAAATATATGTGGTTCTCACTCCACAGTTTGCATGTAGTTAATTCAATACATCTTTTTTTTTTTTGAGACGGAGTCTTGCTCTGTCACCCAGGATAGAGTGCAGTGGCACAATCTCAGCTCACTGCAACCTCCACCTCCTGGGTTCAAGCAATTTTCTGCCTCAGCCTCCCGAGTAGCTGGGATTACAGGTGGCCACCACCATGCCCGGCTAATTTTTGTATTTTTAGTAGGGACGGGATTTCAACATCTTGGCCAGGCTGTTCTTGAACTCCCGACCTGGTTATCCACCGCCTCGGCCTCCCAAAGTGCTGGGATTGCAGGCGTGAGCCACTGCGCCCGGCCAATTCAATAAACCTTAAAATGCTCCTTCAGGTATTGTTCTCGATAGATGGGATGTACTCTGCTTATAACAGCCAAGAATCTGATGGCTAAATCAGGCAAAACCAGGCAAGGAGCCACAGTCACTGGTCTTGTTTCTGCCTGGGTGTGGCCTCTTGTCATATGTTTAGACTTAGGGCTGGAACGGTCATTCAGAAAACACCATTCATAGCTGTATGTCCCCTCTTGCATGCACACTCACATACCTCACCGCCATCACAGAAACTTAAAATTGACCTTCAATAACCAAACCATCCGATCCTCAATTTGCTATCTCTGAATAACAATAATAACAACAAATACAAGTACAGATTTGCTTGAACTCTCTCCTGAGAATGTAAAGCCTAGGAGGAAACTCCTGCGGGCATGTGTCTACCCTCTCTCCCAGGCCAGATGCTACAGGCCTCTTTCCTAGATGACTTCCCTACTCCAGAGTCCCTCCCTGCAGCCAGAAGTTGATTTGGCTGTCCCACAGTGAGGCCTGTGGATCATGTGCCAATTTCTAAACTCCAGAGCAGACTCAAATCCAGAGCTGGTTCCCCTCCTTCCTTCCTTCCTTTCTCCTGCCCAGAAAGCCAGATTCCCATCAGAGCCTATTTAAGAAACAATGACTTGGGACCCTGCTGAGCCACACCTCTAGCTTCCTTCAACCAGCACCTCTGGTTATCTGCCTCAGCCCAATTCTCCCCTTTCCACACGCTCTGGAGCTCCCTGAACCAGTTCTCCCAGGTCTCTAGGAAGGCACGAAGCAGCTAAGCCCAAGAAGCTAAATTTCCCATGTTCCCTTTCCAGACACGAGGCTCCACCTGCCTTTTTAAGGAGGTGAGAGGGTCCCTGAGACTAATCAGGTTTGAGTGAAGAAGCCTGTTTTCCATTTCTGCTCACTCTGGGCTATATAGGCAGTCAAGGGCAGCAGGCAGCTGGGGCTGGGAATGACTCAGCCTGAACCCCAGCTACCACAGAAGCACCTACCCACAGAGGCCACACTGGGACCTCTGAGAAGCCAAGTGACCTCTGAGTGATCTCACCCCAGAATTCTGCTCCTTTGGTACACCTTGCCTGGAAGAAACGGTTGGGCTCTGCTTCCACCCAACTGCAGCTTTTCAGGCTGGTCTCAGAAAAGGAAAGTACGTGTCCTTTTCCATTTTGACATCTTGCAGTGATGTAGTAATACATATATACATTCCAGAAGGAATCAGTGAAAGAGCCCAGCTCAATCAGTCAGAAAAAAACCCATAGATTTGACTAGAACGATGGTAAAAGGCAAAGCCAGAAACTGCAACATAAAGCACTCAGACAACAAAGGATTTTATTTTTTATTCATCAAAGTGCTACTGGAAAGAAAATAACAACAACAAAACCCACTATGGCTCCTTGCTGCTACCACCAATTCTCTTGAATTCATCAAAGCAGGTTGCAGGGGAGAAGTATTCACTGGCAGATGAGCGTGTTTCTCAGCAGCCCTTTTGAGGCAGAGGGGGGACAAATGCCACTCTGACCTTTGGTTTTCTAGGACTTGTGGATTCCTCACAACCCCAAGAATGTAGCTTCAGCAGTAGAGCAAAGGAAAACAGCAGCCTTCTCTGTTATAAGAAGTCCCTGAGACCAAAAGGTACATGGGCTCCTGAGTTTCCCGAGGTGATGATGGTCTCTTCCTCCATCCAGGTGTCCATGCCACAAACTTGAGAGTCATCCTTAATTCTCTACCTCTCCATTCCGCCTCCCAACAGATATCATATCTTGCCTATTCCACCTTATTAGTATCTGTGTATCTGTCCCATCGTGTTTCTCTGCTTCTGCAGGCCTTCATTATCTCCTAGCAGAATTATTACACCCAGGTCTGTATTCGTTTTCCAACTTCCAATCTCATCTTCTCCAATCTCTCATCCACCACTAACCTAAACTCAGATTTGATCATGTTATTCCCTTAATTATAACTCTTCATTCATTCCAAATGCACTCCTTTGTTTCTTCTTCCATGCCCTTTCTTGGCTTAGCCTCATTTTGTCAGTTTGCCAAGCTTCTAGTACTCTTCCTATGGCCAGTTCCTAGGGCCTCTATGAAGCCTTCCCTGACCACTCGATGAGAGCCCTTCCTGCTTTCATTTGGTGCTCCTGGGCCTGGTTCTTCTCTTGCAGTGCTCACTATTCTATAGTGCCTCAATCTGAGTTCTAGACTGTGCATCTCCCTGGAGCAAAATTCTGTGCTATTGAGCCCAGAACAACATCTAGCAGAGAATAGGTTCTTACTTGGTGTTTGTTTGATGAGGAGATGAGTAGTAAGGAGCTGCAGGCTTGAACAAACCTGATCCTCAGTTTGTAATATAGGGCAGGAAAGAAGGGTGCCTCTGCCCAGGAGCCTGAGAAATACTGCTGGGTCATGAGCCACATGGATCCACTAGGAGAATCCACCCTTAAACTGAAAAGTCATCTGACCACAAGGAGGCAACTTAAGGTGCCCAGAACATAGAATATATATAGGTCAGTTTTCCACAGTGGCTACTTGCTATCTTTATAATGTTCTCTCCGCCACTTTCAGGAGCCGCTGTAGCCTACCCACTGAATTAATGTCCCGTCCTGACCATCCCCATCCATCCCTGAGTGTCAGGAAGCAGTAGGAGTCTGAAACTCCTTCCCAAGCTCATGTAGTCAGAGTCAGAATCTCAGCATTCCTCACCCTCTCCCAAAGCAGGGTGTCACTCTTTCTCATGACACTTCATTGATCTCTACTCTTTTTGACATATATCTAAAAACCTTCCTATAGCCATCTGAGCCCATCCTTCTCTTGGCCACCCACTGGAGAGATCTTACTTGTCCCTGTATCCTTAAAGTACCTGATCTGAGTAGATGCTCGTGAACTAAACAAATGAGTTAACTGATAACCTGGTTTCAGTGACGCTACAGTAACATTTCTTTCAGCTGTGCAGAGACCCTATCTGGTGCCATTTGCCATTCTTTAAGTCTCTTTGGTCCCTGAGAGCACAGGAGGCAGGGTGTTGCCTGACACAATTAAGTGCTTAAAAGCTCCATTTGTTCTTAAAACAAATCTCTTCCTCTCCAATTGCAGCCGAAGAGAAGACATAGACTGTGCGGCTGCACCAACAAGCTGAGCAGACAGACAATAGGGCCAGAGAGCCTATCCCTGTTTCTCATACAAACAATATACCGAACTCAACCCAACTGATCAACAGAGAGCCTTGGGCTGCTGGGAACTTCTCTAGATCAGTGAGGTGTATGGCTCAGACACAGAGCTGACACACAAAATGTGCCTATCCCTGGCAGTTTCTTTGGGAGAATCTGTGCTCAGAAACACTCAGGATTGTCTGAAAGATAGATACAGCAGGAATGGAGTCCAGTGGATAGGTCTCTAAGAGGAGCTCTCACTCCTTTCATAAGAAGACAGGAGGCCAAGTGCGGTGGCTCACGCCTGTAATCCCAGCACTTTGGGAGGCCAAAGCGGGCAGATCATGAGGTCGAGAGATTGATACCATCCTGGCCAACATGGTGAAAGCCTGTCTCTACTAAAAATACAAAAATTAGCTGGGCGTGGTGGCATGCGCCTGTAGTCCCAGCTATTCAGGAGGCTGAGACAGGAGAATCACTTGAACCCTGGAGGCAGAGGTTGCAGTGAGCCAAGATCACACCACCGCACTCCAGCCTGGGCAACAGAGCGAGACTCCGTCTCAAAAGAGAGAGAAAAAATAAAGGAGACAGGAAGAGACCCTGGGGAGCTCTCAGGGATAGACCAGGCCTGGTTCAGCTGCTGAGTTGCAACAAGGCCAATTAAATAATTGGTGTGATGGGGAAAGGAGGGAAGCCACTCCTTTCAGGCAAACTCCCACCAGAGACAGGAGGCTCCATGCAGCTGTGACAACAGCAGCAGCAATAACAGGGCAGGGATCTCCTCCTCTTCCTCCCACTAGCTGAGATCTAATGCTTAAATTAGCACCTTGGAAACACCCAGATCTGCTGGCTGCCTTCTCTCCCAGTTCTGCCACGCCCCCAGGCCTTCTTTTCAAGCCTGAGTTTCTCTTTCAATTAAATAATTAAAAAAATAAAGATGTGCTCCCCCTAGAGTTTATCTTTCCAAGTAGGCAATGGCCTCTGGATTCTTCCCATCACTATGGGATGGGGAGAGTTATTTGATGATGGCGCCCATGTGACAAGCCTCTATCCATACAGCTTGGTCCAGAAAGGGGCAATGATGATGACACCAGCGTTGCCTGGCTCCCTTGAGGCTTAATGAGTCAGCCCCTACTCTGCCCTCAGTGGAGGATCACACTAAGAGAGTGAGCAAGAGAAACAAACTTTGACACACTGTGGGCTCAAGGGCAGGGTCACATCTGTGTCTGTGTTGCTAACCACTCTATCCCTAATACTCAGTTTAATATTTGGGACAGAGCAGATGCTCAATAATTATTTGGTAAACCAATTGCTGAATCAATGATATCAGGTCTCTGTGGTATTCTTTAGAAGGGAGAGTGAGGAGCTATTGTTTAAACTTTAAAGAGATAGTTTGTCTTCATCTCATAAATGGAAAAACAATCGAGGAAGGAGGAGAGACTTCCTAGAGGTCTCAATAAATGGCAAAAAAATGAAATAGGTCATAGCTAAGTCTGAGCCTGGGACCCTGGTTTTTATGGCCTATCCAAATACCCTTAAAGAGCCACTTTGCCCTCTTTTTTGCCCTTTACCTCTATGATATGCTATCTTGATTTTTTTTTTTTTTTTTTGGAGACAGAGTCTTGCTCTGTTGCCCAGGCTGGAATGTAGTGGTAGGCACACGGCTCACTGCAGCCTCAACCTCCTGGGCTCAAGCAATCCTCCTGCCTCGGCCTCCTGAGTAGCTGGTACTACAGGCATGCAGCACCATGCTGAGCTAATTTTAAATATTTTTGTAGAGATGGAGTCTCACTGTGTTTCCCAGGCTGGACTATCTTAATTCTTTATGCCCCAAAATGAAGACTCCTGAAGAAACATCACACAAGATTCTGCTGGTCTCAACAATACACAGGGTATTTAAAGGGTTTTGAGGTGCCTCTGGAATACAACCTGGGGACAGAGGTCAGGAAGCGGGGCAATGTCTATGACCCTCAAATGAGGGATGACTATATTGCTATTTCCATAAGGCTCTCACTCAAACTCAATAAAGTATTCTCAGGCCGGGCATAGCAGCTCACTCTTGTAATCCTAGCATTTTGGGAGGCCGAGGCAGGCAGACCACTTGAGGTCAGGCATTCAAGACCAGCCTGGCCAACATGGCGAAACCCTGTCTCTACTAAAAATACAAAAATTAGCCATGCGTGGTGGCAGGGGCCTATAATCCCAGCTACTTGGGAGGCTGAGGTAGGAGAATCGCTTGAATCCAGGAGGTGGAGGTTGCATTGGGCCAAGATCGTGCCACTGCACTCTAGCCTGGGTGACAGAGAGGGACCCTGTCTCAAAAAAAAAGAAAAAAAAGTATTCTCTTGCACAAGGGTGACTTTAGCAGTTAAAGGGGTCTGAAGGCAGTCAGAGCTTTTCTAAGTGCCTCCTTGCCACAGATGCTTCTCCAACTCCAGGGCCACACAGACCGGAAGCAGCTCAAGAGTTCTCTACCCAGCCAAACCACTATTCAGAATTTCAGGCAATAACAGAAGCACCAAGGACAACTGAGAGCCTGGTGGCTCTATTTCTTCTCCCCTTTCCTTGAACAGCTATTTCCTTCCTTTTTGAGAACCCCAGATGGGTGACAAGAAACAACTCATTGCTTCCTTTTCCTGACACACTTGAACCTCCTCTTCCTTCATCCACCCTCTATTTTGATTCTTGATTAGATGCTTAGAACTGGAAGGGCAATCTCGTTTGACAAGCCAGGTTAGCTAGAAAGAGAACTCAGAAAGGAAAATTATCTTCAGCCAGCCCAAAGTCCTTCTTTAAGTTCATGGGATGGACTTCTCTCCAGGATTTTCTGGCTCCCAAATAATCCAATGATGGCATGAGGCTAGGAAAAAGTCCTGCAACACCTCTCTCCGGTTTAATATTGTATGCTTCTGTAAAACTTCTTTGTTTTGGCTCTTAGAACTGTCTAAGCAGTCATGAAAGGGGGAAAAAGCCTTTGTCTCCTGCTAAGTGGCCACTAATGATTCTCTCTACCATCCCTCAAAAGGTGTGACAAAAAGGTGGTGATGGGTCCCTGCCGAGGCCCATCTTGGCTGCTGTAATGGGTAGGTTACTCGCCCAGGAAGCTACAAAGCACATCTGTCAGCCAGGGGGTTATAGGCCCAAGGGTAGACCTGTTTCTGGCCACCCTGCCTAACACAGAAGCAGAACTTCAGAACTTGGAGAACTCAGCTCTGCTCCAGCCAGCACAGCTCAGAGAAATGGGGCATCCACACTTTCGGATTTGTAGCCCACCTTGCCTCCTTCCAATTCCAGCTCAGGCTCCAGGGGGATAAAGCGAACACAGCCTAGACATTCCCTCTCTTCCCCCCTCACTATACGAGCTGGCTAGGCCTCCACGTCTCCCACCCGGTTGCCTGACAGACAAGCGAGGTCAGGGAGCCCCCTGGGCGGTGGCCAGCAAGCATGGTCTCCCTTAGGCCTAGCCTCGGTGCACCCGAGTTGCCCTCCCCCTTCCATTCCCTCCGCGCCAGCAGCGATGACATCATTCCTCCCTGACTCCGGGACCGCGGACAGGCGGCAGGATCCGCGCCCAGCAAGGACTTCAGGCACGTAGGCCTAAGATGATGGGGGCTCTTCCCAACCAGTGCGCACAGGCAGCTCCAGCGCGACCCCACTTCCTCTCCCGTCGGTTCCCGAGCACTCTCATCTGCACCCCGATTCCCCATCTGGTCGCCGCGCACTCTCCTTCCCGGTTTAGATGCCCCCAGCCTGGTCTGCCTGCGCTCCCCACCGGAGAACGGAATTCCCAGGTTCTGCACCAACCACCTTCCCCCACTGGGTCCCTCGCCCCGGCCCAGCGTTCCTGTCCGTATATCCAGCGGACAGGCGGGCAAGCCCCTCCTCTTCTAAAAGCTGATTCCCAATCTCTCTTAGCCTGACGGCTCCCCCGCCCTAAGCATCACAGGCCTCTAGGACTAAACGCCTCCCCACCTCCCATCCCAGACCCCTGGGCCTGCCGCCGGCGGTGCCCCATGGCAGTTCCCTCGCCAGTCCCTGCTATGGGCCTCCACTAGCGGTGTGCACCTTTGTGCCCCCTCCGTTCCATCCGACGGTGCCCTGCTTCCACCGACGGTGCCCTCCGCCCTTACAGGTCCCTTTGCTCTCATCCAGCATATTCTCCCACGGTTTTCTTGTCCTGCAAGTCCCCGTCCCCCGGCAATACGTTTTCAGGGATCTCTTTGCCCCATCCGATGGCGCCCCTCCGCACGATCCCCCCGGCCTGATTCCCTCCCTCCCCCTCAAGCGACGCCCCCTCCGGCCTTGGCCTGCCCGCCGCCCGCCCCCTCACCAGCGGCTGCATCTCCGAGTGCGCGGTGGGCACCTGGAACCGGTCGATCTCCTCCATCATGGTGCCGGCGGGCGAGCGGGCCAGGGGCCGGGCGCGGCCGCGGACGCCGACAGGACCGCGCGGGGCGGCGGCCCCAGGAGCCCGGCGGGTGGTGCAGACTAGGCCTCCCCGGACCACTCGGGCGGGCAGGGGCCGGGCGGATGCAGGGGTGGGCGGGGGCGAGAGGTTCGCAGACTGGCTGAGGCCGGCGTGACTCCGTGGGCTTGCCTAGCACTACCGCGGCTGTGGCCGGGCCGAGCCGCAGGTCTTGCCTCGCCTCCTACTCCGCTGCCGCCTCCTGTCAGCAGCTCAGCCACTGCGGTGACTCGGCAACTCCACTTCCGGGTCCGGGACACCGCCCGGATCTTGCATTATTCATGAGGAGGCGGTGCCTGGGGACCCCAGCCCCACCCACATGCGGGAGTTCCGAATGCGCGCGGCCGCCCAGCTGTGATTCCTGAGGGGGCGGGGCTTAGTGGAGACTCGCTCGCCGCGCGCCCAACCCCGCCTCCTTTCCGGGCCGGCTGGGCGCGCCGAAGCGCCTGCGCCTTGGCTGCTGGTCGGTTGCTGGGTAACCGCGTCAGGGAGTTGGATTCTATCCTGCAAGGGCACGGGGACCCACAACGACGGCTGTCCCTAAAGAACCGTTGCGACTGGTAACTGAAGTGGAAGAGAGTCCAGATTTCTTGTGTGTGGTCAAGGAGACGGACAAACTTTTTGTCTTCAGACGAGGGAGCGTTTTGTAGGCTCTCCAGGGGTTGAGATGATTCCTGCTTCTGCGAAGGCTCCCCATAAACAGCCTCATAAGCAGGTAACGTACGCACACCTTCCTTCTGATGACCTCTGACCTTCGTCGTCGCCAGTGACCACTAATCATACCTCTCCTACTGATCCTTGATCTTTTCTCTGTTGACCCCAGCCTTCTCACCCCCGTGACCTCTGGTAAGTGCTCCCACTGACCTCTGACTCTGTCCTACTCTTTCCCACTAATCCCGGCCTCCTCTCCCATACTACCCCAATCCACCGTTTCTTACCTCTCTCCTTTTATCCACCATTCCCATCTCTTCACTTCACTTTACCCCATGGACTCATTCTGACCAGTCTATTCTCCTTAACTTCCCCATCCCCATTCCCACGAGTCCCTTCCTCCTTGTTCTCACATTCTTGTCCCAAAGGAATTTTTCTTTTTCTTTTTCTTTCTTTCTTTCTTTTTTTTTTTTTGAGACAGAGGCTCGCCCTGTAGCCCAGGCTAGAATGCAGTGGCGCCATCTCAGCTCTCTGTAACCTCTGCCTCCTGGGTGCAAGCGATTCTCCCACTTCAGCCTGACGAATAGCTGGAACCAAAGGCATAGGCCACCACGCCCGGCTAAATTTTGTGTTTTTGGTAGAGACGGGGTTTCCCCATGTTGCCCAGGCCCGTCTCTAACTCCTGAGCTCAAGCGATCCTCCTACCTTGACCTTCCGAAGTGCTGGGATTACAGGCGTGAGCCACGGCGCCCAGCCTCAAAGGCATTCTTTATCCAACCCTTTGCTGTGTGCCTAGCTCCAGGCTAGGTGGGAACACAGCTCTTGCTGTTTGGGAGCCCACAGAGGGTGTGCAAGAGAACTAAACAGAATACAGGACAGGCTATGTGCAGGAGTGTGATTTTATTTTCTGTGCTGGGAGATTTATGAGGAGAGAAAGGGCAGGCAAAGAGGAAGAGGAGAGAGGCCCTTTTCTCATCCCTGTCCTCACCCCCACAGTGCACAACCCAAACACTCTGCCCCAACTATTTCTAGAGCCTCATATCTCTCTCTTCCCTGCGAGCCCCTGGTCCACTCCTATGATTCATTCAGCTATGTGAACATTATGCTCTTATTACCACCTGGACAGATGTCATCCCTTCTCACAGGAAACCCGAGTCATCCCCCACTTAACCCACTGAGCACAGAGTTCTGCTTTCTTCCTCAGCATCACCACGGAAGGCAAGGCAGTCCCAGTTTCCCAAGGAGTCTTCTGTGGTGAAGCAACTCAGTCCTTCAGGAACTTTTTCCAAACCCTTTATGAATTACCACTCAGGCTAATGTGTAGTTTCTAGCTCTGGAAAGCAGGACTTCTATATATTTATTCCAGATTTACCCCACTCAAGTCTAGGTACATTGAGGTTTAGAGAGCCAATCTCCATGCTACTTATGACTTTGCATATTTTGGTCTGGCCACCTCCATGTTAGCCTTTGCTCCTCTGCCTCTTTTACCTGGGCTTCTGTAGCAGATGGACCTGACTTTCTTAGGTCTCTGCAGCCTTGGGGAAGCTGCTAGTCCCATATGAACATGCCCTAATTTTATGTTGGGGTTGGGCTTTACGTTGAAGTTCATGTACTGTGTTTGAGCCTCCTGACCCTATATTTACAGGCAGTTTGCTTTTATTTATTTTTTATTTTTGTATTTTTTATTTTTGAGACGGAGTTTCACTCTTGTCACCCAGGGTGGAGTGCAGTGGCGCAATCTAGGTTCACTGCAACCTCCACCTCCCCGATTCAAGGGACCTGCCTCAGCCTCCCAAGTAGCTGGGATTACAGGCATGCACCACCATGCCTGGCTAATTTTTTTTTATTATTTTATTTTATTTTATTTTTGAGACGGAGTCTTGCTCTGTCGCCCAGGCTGGAGTGCAGTGGTGTGATCTTGGCTCACTGCAAGCTCCGCCTCCTGGGTTCACGTCATTCTCCTGCCTCAGCCTCCCAAGGAGCTGGGACTATAGGCGCCTGCCACCACGCCCAGCTAATTTTTTTGTATTTTTGGTAGAGACAGGGTTTCACTGTGTTAGCCACGATGGTCTTGGATCTCCTGACCTCGTGATCTGCCCGCCTCGGCCTCCCAAAGTGCTGGGATTACAGGTGTGGGCCACCGCACCCAGCCAATTTTTGTATTTTTAGTAGAGACGGGGTTTCACCATATTGGTCAGGCTGGTCTCGGACTCCTGACCTCAGGTGATCCACAGGCCTAGGCCTCCCAAAGTGCTGGGATTACAGGGGTGAGCCCCCGTGCCCCAGCAGTTTGCTTTTAAAATAAACATTATTGAGGTTTGGTTTACATATAATAGAATGTACCATTTTAGTTGTACGTGTTGACAAATTTTAACAAATTTACACACGTATAAACCACTACCACACTCAAGATATAGGATACTTTCTCTATCCCAAGAAGTTCCCTGTGCCTCATCCCACCTCCTATGCCCCACCCCTGGCCTGCCTAGGTAACCACAGATCTGCTTTCTGTCATTACAGATTCAATTTGTCTTTTCTAGCAACTTGCAGTTTGAACAAGCTTGGGGATGGGTTTCTCTAGCCCATTAGGGAGACATTAGAGACTAGTTACACTGAGAGCAGGGAGAGGTGACAGCAGACAGAAAGCAGAAAAAACTGGGTCAACTGGCCCCGTACACATCAGCACTGCCCCATGGAGGGAAGGGTTGTTTTAGTTCAGAGTAAATATTGGCGTGTGGGGTGTGAGAAAAGGTTAGGTTGTGCTAGGTTGTATTTACCATTTTCTTGCCTCAGTGAAGACCAATTTGAGTCAGTGCTAATCAGGTGTGGGATGTCCTAGAGATGTTTGAGAAGTTGTCCCTGTCCTCTGGGAATTCAGTTCAATGGGGGAGACAGAACACAGGCAGAAAAAGATAAAGGAGGATGGGATCCCTGGGGATGAAGGGGAGAGAAGCCTGCAGGTTAGAGCAGCAGAAAGGCTTCAGGGAGGAGGTAGGTAGGACTGGGTTGCCAGGGGTGAGGGAAGATCAGGGTTGGGTTTGTTAGAGGATAGAGAGGAGTTTAAATTCCATTTGTTCATATCACTCCACTAGTCGCCTTTTAATGGTTCCTTGTTGCTTTCAGGATAAAGTCCCAAAAGTCCAATTTGCTTGGTATGGCCTTTGCCACCCTGCATGGTCTTGCCTTTGCTACCCATCCTACTTCAAACCTCACCATTTCTCTATGAAAATTCCACAATCCCAGCAAACTGAACTGCCCTCACTTCCTGGAAAGTGATATTCACACTGTTTATCTCCTCTAAGCTTTTGAAATCTTTTCTGTCTGTGTCTACTAGTCTACTCCACCCTACCCCAAATCTTTCCTTCATATCCTATTCATATTTCGGGTCTAAGCTTGGCCCTCATATTCTTCTACAAAGGATTAAGTCCCCTTTCTGGAGGCAGGATAGGGTGATATCCCCTCTAGACTATAAACTATGTTATGGTAAGGATCATGTCTGTCTTGTTCATTGTTGATTCCCCTCTACCTAGCACAATACCTGGAATATATTAAATTCTAAGAAAATGAGTTCAATATGAATTCTGAATGCCCTAAGTTGTTCTTGGAAATTATCATCTGAATGTGTTCGAAGGATGGGAAGGGGTGAAGCTGGGATGGGGAGACTTGTGGGGAATTATAACAAGGAAATGTAACTGTGTAAGTATGGTTTTCCAGGTACATGTTTGTATCTGCTTTGGCAGTAGGGCTATGAATGATTCAAATTTGAACCACAAGTATCCATGCCTTAAGAAATGGGTTTTGGAGACTAAGAGATAAAAATATTGATGTGTAAATATTCATGCAGTAATTATTTATCGTACCCACTCTGTGTTAGGTACTGTTCTAGGTATTGGTGATATAGCAAGAAACAAAACAAACAAAAATCCCTGCTCTCATGGAGCTTATTTTTTAGTTGGAGGTAAAGTGGCAATAAATAAATTTGTAAAATATATAGTATATTAGATGGTGATAGATGCCAAGAAGAAAACTAAATCAGAGAAGTAGACTAAGAAGTTCAGGGAATCACAAGATTATCATTTAAATAGGATGGACAGGGAAGGTGTTACAGAGGTGGCATATGAGCAAAGACCTGAAGGAAATGAAAGAGCTATGCAATACCCGGGGGTAGGGTGTGGGGTGAAGGGATGGGGATAGGGGAGGCATTCCAGACAGACGGCATAGCAAGTATAAAGTCCCTGAGATGGGAGCCTGCTACACATGTTCTGGATCAGCAAGGAAGGGAGTGGGGAATGTGGCAGGAGATAAGGTCAAAGAGGTACCTTCCCCTACCCTATAGAGTTAATCAAATAACCCATGGCATATTAAATTGGTCATTATGGAGCTCCATAAATCATAATTTGTAATTAAAATGCTTGAATGTCAGGAACCATAAACCATGACCAGCTCAAAACATCACTGGTAATGCCCCAATAGCAAAGCGTCCTTCCTGAAAATTGTGAGAGTGCCAACTGGCTGCATGTATACATGTACAGGAGGAGCTTTGCAGCGTTGCCAAACATTGCCTGGCAGCTAAACTTCTTAGTAGAAAACCGAATTAGAATCTTCTGTGAACTCCAGTTAAAAGCTAATTTTAGTTTATGACTAACAAATTTTAGTACCTCTTTATAACTCAGTTGGTTACCATAAAAAAAAAATCAAAGTCTGGAATTTTACATCATTCTCCTGTAAAAGCCAAAGAAAAGACTTTCATTTTGGATCATTTTGTGGTCTCTCAAGAGGCTCCTATGGTGCAATACTTTTAGAAATATTGATCTAGATTAGGGGTGACTAAGGTAGGAGTGAGTGGGCAGGGTTGGGCATAAGGCCAGAAGAGAGTCTTGGATGATTCAGAGATTTTGAGCCTGGTGATGGGGCCTGGTATCCACAGATGAAAAGATAGGAGGTGAACAGAATGTAGGGGAAGTTGATGTGTTTCTGTATGTCCAAAGTAAGATAGCTTCACTCCTGTGACCTCAGTGTCATTCTTACACATATATTCCTTAAGCCCTAGATATGATCTTTTACTCCCTTACCTCTTAAATATCTCTCAAATTAAACTACTTTTTTTCATATACACTGCCACCTCCCTAGCCCAGCTTACAATCGTCTCTCACCAAAGAGTGCTGTAAAAGCCTAGTAACTAGTCTTCCCTCATTCACTCGTGCCCTTTCCAGTCCATTCTCTACACTGCATGAAAAGTGATCTTTTCAAACTGTCAATCTGATTGTGCCATCCCCCACTCAGAACACTTCAGTGACTTCCCATTGCTCTTAGGATAGGGACCAGATTTTTAGACAATCGCTCCAGAGACCTGAATGGGCCTGAGACCTACCTGGGTCTCTATACCTTAATTTGTACCACTCTTCTCCATTATTGCTGTACCTTAGTTCTATGTGCTGCCCCCTTTCTGGAATGCTTTTCACACCCTCCCTCACACATGTACTCACTCCTAAGATTTCAGCCCCCAAATCAATCCCCACAACCTGCCCCCAATGCCCCCTGCCCCGTTATGGAAGGTAGGGTAAGTTTCCTCTGTTATATAGTCTCATTGCTCTGTGTTCCTTTCTTCCATAGCATGCATCACGGTTTGTAATTATTCACTTATTTGTGTAATTATTTGATTATTGTATGTCTCCCCCATTAGACTGTGAGCTCCTTGGGAGCAGGGCCTGTGGATGTTTTTGCTTATATCTGTATTCTCAGCCCCTAAAACAGTGGCCATGATGACGTCAGAAGCTCTTGATGAATGTTGAATGAGTGATCAACTGTGGTTGGGGAAGTAGCACAGGGTTCTATGGAAGCATGTGGTAGGGGGTCTTCATTCTGATTCTGGGGGAATTAGGGAAGACTTCTGGGGGGACCACCAGTATTTAAGGTTTGGATAGAAGAAGAAGAGTCCAAAATGGAGAATAAGAAGGAGTAATCAGAGAAGTAAGAAGACAACAAGGAAAAATAATATCCCAGAAGCCAAAGGAAGAATGTGTTTCAGTGAAACTGTATGGTCAGCCAAGTTGCATGTTGCTAAGGTGTCAATGAAGATAAACACTAAGATATAACTATTAGATTTAATAACTTGGAAGTTATTGGGGACCTTGGAAAGGACAATTTCAGAGTGAAAAGCTAAACTGAATTGAGCTAAGAAGGCAGTAAGAACTATGTAGGCAAAGATTGTTTTTTTAAGATGACAGACTTGAATATATTAAATGCTGAGGGGAAGGATCCTGAACGGAGAGAGAAGTTGAAGATAAAGGAGAAAGATTAAATAATGACTAGAGCCAAGTCTCTGAGGAGATGATGTTGTGGACAGGAGGAGGCACACTTTGTAACAGGACAGGAGAAGGGATGGATGCAGTTGATGATAATTTTGAGGTTTAGCAGCAGAAAGCTGAGACAGTTTTTTCTTCTTTTCCCCTAGTTGTGTTAATGGAATTCCTTCTGGAAGTGATAACTAGAAAACAATTTTTGCCAATGGCAGTTCCATTTTGTTATGATTATAGTCATGCTATTTTCAGAGTTATGGTCTGAGGTTTGTCATGCACAATTATCAGATTACAAAACAGCTGTGAGCATTTGAGGCCAGAATTTGTTTTCCTCCCCTGTGTACTAGGGGGCCTAGCACATTGTTAGCACTCAGTACATGCCAGGTACTCAAATAATAATGGCAGAGGGCTCCTGTGCTCGTTGCTGGGCTTTGCAGCCTGCAAGTTGATGCTGAGGAGTAATGTTGACTCTCTGGCTCCAGCTGTGAGCAAGCCACATGAAATTGTTTTCTGCCAGTTAGGAATTTGTATCAAGTGTTCAATCTTTGCAGTCACTGAGCACTGACAGAGTTGTATGCAAGAAGCAAGCAAAGGACACAGCTGTTGTAACTTTAGTTTCACTGGTTTGAGTCTCACAACGCTTTGTCCTACTCATAGAGTCACTGGATTCTGGTTTGTATGGTGGATTTATGTCCTCCATTTATCTCACCTCCTAGATTGAGAACCCTGGGTGTGAGAACCAACTCAATCTTGGTTCCTCTTTAGCCGTCATCCGAGGACCTGGCACATAGTAGATGCTTAATAAATGCTGAATGAATGAATAATGACTGAATGAGTTAGTTGATGAGTGAATAAATGAGTGATGGGAAGGTATGTACTGCACTACTCTGAACACTAACTTTTCTTTCTTGGCCTGCAGAAGAAGCAATTCATGCCTCCTTTATCCTAGTTAAAGCAGCCTAATCCTATTAATTATGTAGGGACCCTACCCCTAATGTTAAGCTTATTTTTCTACTTTTATTCTTACATCACATCCATTTGCTCATTTACTTATTTTCTCAATGTGTCATGTATTCAGCCTCAAATCTTATTTGGGAACAAACTGGAGTGTATATGGACAAAATAATCTGCTGCTCCTTGGAGAGTCATCTGCTTCTGTGCCTCTGTGTCTTTGTTAATTATTTTGTTCCCTCTGCATGGAATGCCCAAGTCTTCTCTTCTCTTTCTGCCCTTTACAGACCTGGCAAACTCTAAGACACATTACTTTAGTTAAGCTCTTTAAGTTACAAAGAACAGAGGCTCACTCAAGTTACCTCAGATAAAAGAGGATGAGAGAAGGGAGAAGGTATATATGTGGGGAGTTACAGATGGTTATTATAAGTACATAGATAACCTAGAATTGAAATTGGAAAACAATTAATTCTGAAACAGGTATAGGGACCAACTACTTTCTCCACATCTCTCACAGCCTCTCTATTTCTCTTAACAACTATGTTTCATTCTTATTCTTATTTCCCAACTGGCCAGATTTCCATGGTCTCCGCTCCCTCATAATTTTAGTCTGTTTCCAGCTTATCATAACTGTTCTGACCTCTCTACCTCACAAACATTTCCATGAATATCTCCATCCAACTGCTGGTTCTCCCTGTAGTCCTAGTTCAAATTCTTAAGGAGGGAATCTGATTGACCCTAGCTCATCTGTTCATGCTAGGCAATGTCAGCAAGGGACAAGATCCTATGGCTCTTTAAGCAACCAAAGCTAGAAGGAGGTATTCTCTTTGCTCAGCTCCTCCAGTGGAAGATATAACTCGCTTTACTCTAAAGTAACTTCCATATTGTTTCTGGTAAATCTCTTTCTCATGAATTGTGCGGGAAGGGGCCTCAGGGGCCTCAGATTTCTTCTAGTCCAATGCTTTCATTCAGGGCTGATATTTACATTACAAAAGGTCCTGTCCTTTACAAAAGCCTTTACTATAGGGTTTTAAAAATAGCACATTTCTGCAATGAATTTTAAAATACAGCACACAGGCCAGGCATGATGGCTCATGGCTGTAATCCTAGCACTTTGGGAGGCTGAGGCAGGAGGATCACTTGAGCCTAGGAGTTTGAGACCAGCCTGGACAACACAGCAAGACCCCATCTCTACACAAATACACACACACACACACACACACACACACACACACACACACACCACAAATTAGCCAGGTTGCATGCACCTGTAGTCCCAGCTACTCAGGAGGCTGAGGCGGGAGGATCCCTTGAGCCCAAGAGTTCAAGACTCCAGTGAGCTATGATTGTTACCACTGCACTCCAGCATGGGCAACAGAGTGAGAACCTGTCTCTAAAATAAATAAATAAATAAAATGCAGTATATATATAACCTTAAAGACCTTGATTTAGGGGATTTATATTCTGGCCATGGTGCAGAAATCTACACTGGACTTTCCCTCACACTGTAAACAGCAGTAAGCCTGGACACAATATATGACACTAATGTTTTTCGGTATTGGACAATAGACAACATAGGACAGTGATTCCTGAGGGAAGGAAAACACTCAACGTGAGTCACACATTTACCCTTGCTCTCTGCCTAAGGACAATTTCTTGATCATGGCTCAGAGAGGTAGATCCAAAGGAGAGCATGATAGTACCAGGGAGTAACACAGATGTTGGAATTAGCAGGCAATGTCTTTAAAGCAGCTGTTATAAATATATTTATGGACATAAAGGAAATATTGTTTTAATGGATGCACGGATGGAGAATCTAAGCAGAAAAATGGAAACAGTAGAAAAATACAATATCAGAAATAAAAAATTCGTTGGATAGGCCTAACAGCTGAATGTGAAGATGGATCCATGGAAATTATTTAATCTGAAGAACAGAGAGGAAGAAGGCTTTTTTTTTTTTGAGATGGCGTCTCGCTCTGTCTGCCAGGCTGGAATGCAGTGGCGCGATCTCGGCTCACTGCAAGCTCCTCCTTCCAGGTTCACGCCATTCTCCTGCCTCAGCCTCCCGAGTAGCTGGGACTAAGGCGCCCGCCACCACGCCTGGCTAATTTTTTTTTTTTTTTGTATTTTTAGTAGAGACGGGGTTTCACCATGTTAGCCAGGATGGTCTCGATCTCCTAACCTCCTGATCCACCAGTCTTGGCCTCCCAAAGTGCTGGGATTACAGGCGTGAGCCACCACGCCCGGCCAAGAAGGTTTTGTTTTGTTTTGTTTTGTTTTGTTTTTCTTGTAAAAAGAGAGCCTGGCTGGGCATGGTGGCTCATACCTATAATCCCAGCACTTTGGGAGGATGAGACGGGAGGATCACTTGAGCCCAGAAGTTTGAGACCAACCTGGGCAACATAAAAAAAACCTCGTCTCTACAAAAAATTTAAAAATTAGCCAGGCGTGGTGGTATGCCCCTGTGGTCCCTCTATGTGGGAGGCTGAAGTGGAAGGATAGCTTGAACCCAGGAGATCAAGGCTGCAGTGAGCTGCGGCTGTGCCACTGCAAAGCAGTCTGGGTGACAGAGTGAGACCCTGTCTCAAAAAAAAAAAGAGAAAAGAAAAAGAAAAAACAGGTGCCCTGTTACTGAGGCTCCACTAAAAAATAATAATAATAAAAGAGAGGGCCTTTGTGAGCTATGGAATATATTATATATGTATTTGGAACATGGGTGTAGTTGGAATGCCAGAGGGAAAAAGAGGAAGAAAAAATATTTGAAGAAATAATGGTCAAAAGTTTTCTGAACTTGGTGGAAAACATATAGGACTATCAGAAACTCAGTGAGCCCCAAGCAGGATAAATACAAATAAAACCACATCTAGGTCTTTTATAGTCAAACTACTGAAAACCAAAGATAAAACTAAAACCTTGGAAGTAGCCAAAGAAAAATGACAAATTGCATACAGGGAAACAATTATATGAATTGTGGTTGACTTCTCACCATAAACAATGTAGGCCAGAAGACAATGGAATGGCTTTTTTTTTTTTTTTTTTTTTTTGAGACAAGGTCCCACTCTGTCACCCAGGCTGGAGTGCAATGGCATGCTCACAGCTCACTGGAGACTTGACCTCCTGGGCTCAAGTGATCCTCCTGCCTCAGCCTGCCAAGTAGCTGGGACCACAGGCATGCACCACTAAGCCCAGCTAATTTTTTTTTTAATATATAGAGACAGGGTCTCACTATGTTGCCTAGGCTGGTCTTGAATTCTTGGGATCAAGTGATCCTCCTGCCTCAGCCTCCCAAAGTGCTGGGACTACAGCACTTTTTTTCTTTCTATTAATTTTCTTTTTGTTGTTGTTTTTGGTTGTTTGAGACAGAGTCTTACTCTGTCGACCAGGCTGGAGTGTAATGGTGTGATCTCAGCTCTCTGCAACCTGTGTCTCCCAGGTTCAAGCAATTCTCTTGTCTCAGCCTCCTGAGTAGCTGGGATTGCAGATGCTCACCACCATGGTGGCTAATTTTTTTTGTATTTTCAGTAGAGACAGCGTTTCACTATGTTGGCCAGGTTGATGGCAAACTCCAGGCCTCAAGTGATCCTACTGTCTCGGCCTCCCAGAGTGCTGAGATTACAGGCGTGAGCCACTGCGCCCAGCCCTTCTATTAATTTTCTTAAAAGACAGATGACTGTTTAAAGCAAAAAACAAAACAAAACCATTATTGTCAAGTAGGGCTTACACTGTATACAGAAATAAAATATGTGACAACAATAGGGGAAAGGATGAAGTAGTGGTGGTAAATAGAATTAGCATGTTATGAGATTATTACATTGTGAAGTGTGAAGTGATACAATATTTATTTTTAGTAGACTATGATAAGTTCAGGATGCATATTGTAACCCTTAGAGCAACCACACATGCACAAAATACAAAAAGGCACATATGAAAAGCCAATAGAGAAAGCAAAATGGAGTACTAAAAAATTTCAGTTAATACAAAAGAAGGCAGAAGATGAACAGAGAAACAAAAGCAGATGAGAAAAACTAGAAAACAAAGAGCAACATGGTAAAGACCTCCAATTAAGAGGCAGAGTTTATCAGGCTAGGAAAAAGAAAAAAACAACTATATGTTGCCTGTTACAAGAAATATATTTTAAATGTAAAAACATAGAATGTTTGAAAATAAAAGAATGGAAAAATAAACTAAGCAAATGGAAAGCATAAGAAATCTGTATGAGTATCATTATCAGACAAAGTAGTCTTCAAGACAGGAAGTATTCCCAGAGATAAATGGGGACATTTTAAAATGACAAAGGGTCAATTCAAGAGGGATACATAAAATCACAAAGTGTATGCCTCAAGATATAAGAATCAAAAGAACTTCAAGATGTAAGCATCAAAAAATGACAGAACTAAAGGGAGAAGTAGAAATATTCATAATGATAATTTGATATTTTAACATTATTCTCTCAGTAGATCTGAACAGTGCTGTTAACCAACTTGACCTAATTAACATTTATAGAACACTATACTCAAGAACAGTAGAATGAAAACTACGCCCAAGAACTGCAGAATTTTCACAAGGATGAGCCATATACTGGGACATAAAATAAGTTCAAATGCATTTCAAAAGGTTAATATCTTACAGTTTAACTTAATTCAAATTCAACATCCATCCTTGCCAAAAAAGAATCTCAGCATATTAAGAGTAGTTTGAACAAAATAGAAGTAAATAATATCTTCAAAATCTCTGGGTATTTAGAAATTAAAGAATACTTCTGAATAACCTATAGGTCAAGAAAATCATAAGGAAATTAGAAAATATTTTTAATTGTAATGAAAATAAAACATAAAAATTGTGAGGTGCTGCTAGAATTGTGCTTAATAGAAAGGTATAGTTTTAAACGCTGTATTAGAAAAGAAAGGCTAAGTGTGGTGGCTCATGCCTGTAATCCCAGCACTTTGGGAGGCTGAGGTGGATGGATCACTTGAGCCCAAGAGTTCGAGACCAGACTAGGCAACATAGTGAGACCCCTTCTCTACCAAAAAAAAAAATTAGCTGGGTGTGGTGGCATTTGACTGTAGTCCCAGCTACTTGAGAGGCTGAGGTGGGAGGGTCGCTTAAGCCCATGAAGTAAAGGCTGCAGTGAGCCATGATTGTGCCACTGCACTCTGGCCTGGGCAACAGAGTGAGACCCTGTCTCTCCTGGTCCCCAACCACCACCACAAAAAAAAAAAAAAAGAAAAGAAAAGGAAAGTTTAAGATCATCCAGGCACAGTGGCTCAAGCCTGTAATCCCAGCACTTTGGGAGGCCGAGGTGGGCGGATCATGAGGTCAGGAGTTCGAGATCAGCCTGGCCAACTTAGTGAAACACTGTCTCTACTAAAAAATACAAAAAATTAGCCAGGCGTGGTGGTGGGCACCTATAACCCCAGCTAGTCAGGAGGTTGAGGAAGGAGAATTGCTTGAATCCAGGAGGCGGAGGTTGGAGTGAGCTAAGATCAAGCCATTGCACTCCAGCCTGGGCTACAGTGTGAGACTCCATTAAAAAAAAAAATCAAAGTATTTCTTCATATTAACAGGATAAAGAAGAAAAAATCCTATAATGATGACATCTCAATAGATTCAGAAACAAAAACATTGACAAGATTAAACATCCATCCACAAAAGATTGTTATAATGATCAAATAAGATAATGTACTCCAAAATGTCTAGTAAACTGAAAGATGCTATATAAATGGAAGTATTTTTATTGTCATCCTTCTGCTGTGACACCCTGAGATGCACAGGCTCCTTTCTAATAAGATTTCTTGGGATCTGGAAAACATACTATTCAATTATTCATTCTAAGCCCTCAGAATGGAACTCAATTGCCTTGCATGGCAGACTGCATGGAATAATAAAAATAATGACAGCCAAAATGTCTACATTGCCACTAGTACTTGAGGGCTTACTTTATGCTGGGCTCTGTGTTAGTGCTCTTCATACATTATTTTATTTTATACTCACAGCAATTCTATGAGGAGGGCACTAATATTTTTCTCCCCCTTACAGATGCAGAAATGAAGTTTAGGGACTAAACGCCTTGCTCAACGTCTTACATATAATTCGTAGCAGAGGCAGGTATCCAGCAAAGGCTTACTCTAGAGCTCCAGCTTTTAAATCCGATACTTTCTGGCCTTCTGCAGCCTTATCTGGGAAGGGTCCTATATAATTGGCTTCTGCCCTCCTGTGTTTCCAGGGAGGAATGGGGCTGGTCTTGTATTCTCTTTTCCAGCATTCTGAGCACTGTGCTAACACTGCATTCATAGGAAAGAAAAATTTATCATGTTGATTTTTACATTCTTAATTAGCATTTGAAATTATAAAAGTAATGCATATTCACATTTAATACATTAGGCTGGGTGCAGTGGTTCACGTCTCTAATCCCAGCATTTTGGGAGGCTGAGGCAGAAGGATCACTTGAGGCCAGAAGTTTGAGACCAGCCTGGGCAACATAGTGAGACACTGCCACTACAAAAGATTTAAAAATTAACTAGGCCTGTTGGTACATGCCTGTATTCCTAGCTACTTGGGAGGGTGAAGCAGGAGGATCCCTTGAGCCCAGGAGGTCACAGCTGCAGTGAGCCGTGATTGTGTTGCTGCACTCTAGCTTGGCGATGGAGTAAGACCCTGACTAAAAAAAAAAAAAAATTATGACGATGAGTATATAACAGTATTAGTCCCCTTCCCCACAATTCTGTAGTCACACTGCATGCACAAAAACCACTGTCAACAGATTCTATATATTCTTCCAGAAATTTTGTATGTATATGCAAATACACATATACACATATTCTTAAAGTAAACAGATGGGGCATCTATTCCTGTAACTTGCCTTTTTATTTGACAATATGCCTTGGAGAGCTTTCCATAGCAATACATAAAAGTTTACTTCATTCTTTCTACTTTATTTTTTCAACAATATACTATTTTTAATTGACAAAATTGTATATTTATCATGTAAAACATATTTTGAAATATGTATACATTGTGGAATGGCTAAATCAAGCTTATTATTATTATTATTATTATTATTATTATTATTTTGAGACAGAGTCTTGCTCTGTCACCCAGGCTGCAGTGCAGTGGCACGATGTCAGCTCACTGCAACCTCCGCCTCCTAGGTTCAAGCAATTATCCTGCCTCAGCCTCCCGAGTGGCTGGGATTACAGGTACTTGCCACCAGCCTGGCTAATTTTTGTATTTTTAGTAGAGACAGGGTTTCGCCCTGTTGGCCAGGCTGATTTCGAGCTCCTGACTTCAGGTGATCCACCCGCCTTGGCCTCCCAAAGTGCCGGGATTACAGGTGTGAGCCACCATGCCCAGCCAATCAAGCTAATTAACGTATGCATTACCTAGCATATTTATAATTTTTTGGGGTGAGAACACTTAAAACCTATTAGCAATTTTCAAGAATACAATATATTGGTTGGTTGGTTGGTTGGTTGGTGCGTGGGTGGGTTAGTTGGTTGGTTGGTTTGAGACAGGGTTTAGCTCTGGTGCCCAGGCTGGAGTGCAGTGCGTGATCACAGCTCACTGCAGCCTTGACCTTCTGGGCTCAAGTGATCCTCCCACCTCAGCCTCCCAAGTAGCTGAGACTATTGGTACACCCCACTACACCTGGCTAATTTTTAAAAATTTTTGTAGGGACAGGGTATCTTGCTATGTCACCCAGGTTGGTCTCGAACTCCTGGACTCAAGCATTCCTCCTGCCTAGGTCTCCCAAAGTACTGGGACTACAGGCATAAACCACCACACCTGGTCCAATACATTGTTATTTACTATTGTACGATAGTTATTCTTTTAAAAATATGCATAACATCCCATTGAATTGCTATAATTATTTTGTTATTTATTTACCTAGACTCCTATTGGCGAATATTTGTGTTTTTCCATTTTAAAAAATCACAAATAAAGCTGAAGCAAGCAATTTTGTATATACATCTTATTCAGGTGTGACTATTTCTTTTTTTTTTCTTTTCTTTTTTTGAGACAGGGATTTGCTCTGTCACCCAGGCTGGAATGCAGTGGCTCAGTCTCAGCTTACTGCAGCCTCTACCTCCCGGGCTCAAGGGATCCTCCCACCTCACCCTTCTGAGTAGCTGGGACTACAGGCATGCAACACCACGCCTGGCTAATTTTGTTTATTTTTTTGTAGAGATGAAGTCTCACTATGTTGCCCAGGCTGGTCTTGAACCCCTGGACTCAAGTGCTCCTCCTGCCTTGGCCTCCCAAAATGCTGGGAGTACAGGCATGAGCCACTGCACCCAGCCTGAGTTGTGACTATTTCTTTTTTTTTTTTCCTTTTTTTTTTTTTTTTTTTGAGACAGAGTCTCCCTCTGTCACCCAGGCTGGAGTACAGTGGTGCAATCTCGGCTCACTGCAACCTCCGCCTCCCGGGTTCAAGTGATTCTCCTGCCTCAGCCTCCTGAGTAGCTGGGATTACGAGCATGTGCCACCATGTCCGGCTAATTTTTGTATTTTTAGTAGAGACAGGGTTTCACCATGTTGGTCAGGCTGGTCTCGAACTTCTGACCTTGTGATCTGCCCGCCTCGGCCTCCCAAAGTGTTGGGATTACAGGTGTGAGCCACCGTGTCCGGCAAGGTGTGAATATTTCTATCAGAAAACTCAAGAAAGTGGAGCCATTGAGTTGAGGGGTATATGCATTTTAAACTTTGGTACACATTACAAACTTTGGTACAAAAAGTTTGCATCAGTTGGCACTACCACAACAATGTATGTGTGCCTGTTACCCTGCATAGACCACTATTCAAAGTTTTAATATTTTCTTCAACTATAAACACTTATTGAGTGCCTTCTGTGTGCTTTAGACACTGCACTAGGCTCAGAGATTTAAAATGTATTCAGTGTAGCTGGAGGAAGATTTGTTGGTGAATTGCTGCTGTTCCTTTGGGACTAAGAGCTTTTAACCTTTTAGAAACGGAAACGGCAAGCTGGTGAGGTATTTAGTTTCAATTTAGCTTAATGGAAACCTGTTAGTGAGTTTTAAAATAAGGACCAAGACAACTGAGATGGTAAACGAAGTCTCCTGGGCCCCAGGAAGGAGGATGCAGCATCTGTGGGTTTGCATGCTTTGAAGAGCCCCTCTTTCCAGGAACAATCATGTTTCAGCATTGAACTCTTGAGCAGAGATGTGAGCTGCTGAAATCTAGTCATCCCTAAGGCAGGTGCTTCCTAGAAGGCAAAGGGCCACACAGATCCCATGTGACTGACAGCAGAGCAGGGTCTATAAGTGGGAAGGTAATGCTGTCAGGCATCATTTATTGGGCACACACTCTGGCCAGTTGCACATAAAGTGCACCACACTATGCACCTTATGTGTGTTGTTGACTCATTTAATCCTCATAACAAGCCTCTGATTGTCTGAGGGTGCCATTATAATGCCAATTTTTAAAATGAGGATACTGAGGTTCAAAGAAGACAATTAACTTGCCTGGGGTCATAAAACTATTAGCAGGTAGCAGAGTGGGGACTCAAACCCAGCTATGGTTGACTTCAAAGCCCACACTTGGGTTCCATGGCTCCATCTGATCACATACTCATTTTTAAAATATTATATATTTATGGTAGAGAACAGCTTAAGAATTTTTTATCTCCTTATTTATCACTAAAATACGCTCAGGGACAAATAGATCGCTTACATTGTTCAGTGGGGTCATGAACCAAAACAGGTCTAAATGCAGGTAAATGACCAGTAGGTGGTAATAATAATTATCTCTTACATTGACAGAATTTTTGTTTTCAATGTATCCTTCCATTGACCATGTCATTTGATCTGAACAATTCTCAGTGTCCTTGTCTTTAAAAGGGGAACAGTTTTACCTACTTTGCAGGAAGGCTGTGAAGATTGGGAATAATGACCGTACAATGCCCAGCAAGGTGCCTAGCTATTAGTGAGTGCTCACTAGATTACAGTTAGGGATGGTGATGGTAATCAACTGGTCTCTGCCTCTCTCCCCTCCCCTAACCCCGCTGCAGATAGTACTAGGTTGATAGACTTCAAACATCTGCCCTTGGTGTGTCACTGCTGTACATGAGAATGCCTCTTTCCAACCACCTCATTCTCTCTCAGCTCCTCTCCACGGCTTTCCAGACTTCTTTGGGACTTCCTCTCTGCCCTTTGGCTTCCTCAAGTGTTCCAGGACAGACCGAGTGGGGCTGCACTGGAAGCTGCTTATGGAAAAAGACAGTCCTTAGGGCTGGGCCAAGTTAGGAGGGGTGTTAACTTAAAGATCATCCAAAAGTGTGCTAAGCCAAGGAGGTGATCCAGAGCTGTGCTAGAAGAACAAGGGGGTTAAAGGCCCAGAGAGGTGGCATCTTGAATGAGGTAAGGGGACCCATGCAGAGGCTAGCCTGACAGAAGGGTGGCCAGACATCATGGTTGGTAGTATTGAGGGAAGGGAGAAGGATGCTCGGCATAGAGCAGTGAAGTTAGATGGTCCATGGAAGAAATCCTGTGAACCTAAGGAAAGAGAGGAGGCATTTTATTTGGGCAGCTCCCTTCTAAATCAGCCACTATCACCTGTGTGAGGCTTGGGGCATATCTAACCACTGGGCACACAGGCTCAGTCCCTCTGCTTACATGGCTCTTTCCTACATAAGCTTAGGGAGAATTGTACGTGACTGAATGTGGCTGTAGGAGGGGAAAAGTAGGAGATGAGGTAGATGCCATGTTCAGGGGCTTGGGCTTCATCTCATGGCGGAGGGTGGGCTCTTGGAGGCTTTATTTTATTATTTTATTTTATTTTGAGACAGGGTCTCGCTATTTTGCCCAGATTGGAGTGTAGTGGCACAATCATAGCGCACTGCAGCCTTGAATTCCTGAGGTCAAGCAATCCTCTTACCTCAGCCTCCCAAGTAGCTGGGACTACAGGCACACACCACCACACCCAACTAATTAAAAAAAATTTTTATGTGGAGATGGGGTGTGGCTTCGTTGCCCAGGCTGGTCTTGAACTCTTGGAGGCTTTAAATCAAGAGAATGACACAATCATATTTATGTTTTAGGAAGATCATTTGTAGATAGTGATTAAGAGTTTGGGTTCAAATCCTGGTCAACTTTGGGTCAGTTGCTTGATGTCTCTATACCTCAGTTTTCTCATTTGTAAAGTAGGAATAATGATAGTTCATACTCCATATGGTGGTTGTGAAGATTAAATGAAATAATGTGCATAAATAGCTTAGTAAATGACCGGCCCAGAGTAAGTTCTCAGTAGCAGTAATTATAATGATATAATCATTAGAGTAGAGAGAAACTGGAGTCAGGGAGATCAAATGTGGTTAGGCAAAAGATAGTAAGGGCCTGAAATAAGGAGAGGATTATTAAGAAAGATATTAAAGAAATAGAATTGTTAGGCTTTGAAACATAATGCTAGTGAGAGGGTGAAGAAAGGGCAAATATCTTTAATGGTTCCCAGTTTCCAACCTGGGTGACTAAATGGATAGTGGTACACTTGAGTGAGAGGGGGAATCCTGGAGGAAGTGGCAGTTTAGGGTGAAAAAAGAACATAATGAGGTCAGTTTTAAAGATATTGAGTTTGAGTACTCTGTCATCAATTCGAATATGAGGTTCTGGGAAGTCTAAGCTGCAGAAATAGATCTGGGGAGACCAAGACCCTGTCTCTCTCTCTCTCTCTCTCTTTTTTTTTTTTTTTTTTTTTTTTTAGTCTCAGCTCACTGTGACCTCTGCCTCCCGGGTTCAAGTGATTCTCCTGCCTCAGCCACCTGAATAGCTGACGTTACAGGCGTGCACCACCATACCCGGCTAATTTTTGTATTTTTAGTAGAGATAGGGTTTCACGATGTTGCCCAGGCTGGTCTCGAACTCCTAGCCTCAAGTGATCCGCCTTTCTCAGCCTCCCCAAGTGCTGGTATTACAGGCGTGAGCCACAGTGCCTGGCCACGAGAACTTGTCTCAGGGAAAACAAATAATAAAAGTAGATTTGAGCTTTATCATAAGGTGGAAGATGAAAGATGAAGCTACAGGTGGGGATAAGAGCATTCAAGGGGAGGGTGTACAATAGGAAGACCAGAGGGTCAAGCATATATCCCTGGAGAGGTCAAGGATATTGAGGAGCCATTGGAGAGATCAGTGACATGGAAAAGAAGGTAGAGAAGTTTCAAGAAGGAGGGAGGGAGCCCTCAGCAATGTCAAGTCCTATAAGAGAACTGAGAAGTGACCACTAGGCAGCTGAGTTGTGACTGGTGACTTTTATAAGAGCAGTGACCTCCATCCAAATGCTAGCCTCTGTGCTAGTGATCCAAAGACGAATAAGACTCAGTTCCTGCTCTCACAGTGCTCACACTGAAGTCCACAACAAGAATGGAAAAATGCTCTGCTGTGAAAGAGTTCAGGCTGAGACATCTGTTATCCCATTGATCCGCAGGGCTAAATTGTCTGCCACGGTGGGCTGGGAGGGTTTCCTCTCCCTGCTTCACTCTTTCATAGACATCTTCCCTTGGCCAAATAGAATGGCCTATCCAAGAGAAGAGGACCTTCTTTGGTCAATAGCATAAGAACGCCAAGCTGCCTCCTATGTGTACTGCAGTGTGATGCTTCTTTTCATAACACTATTCCCTTCTGTAGACCAGACCCAGAGACTAACAGAGTGTCTATTTACGTTTGATCATTCAGTACTTGTGATGGAAGGTGGAGGGTAGCCTTGCTTAAAGTGAGGAAAGGAAGAGTAGAGGGAGGTAGGAGAAAGGTGGGAAAGGAAAAGTTAGATAAAGGACTAGCAGAGGCTAGTTGGGTAGGGTTTTGTTAGGCAGAGATAGTGGAAGCAGGGAGAGGAAAGGGGAAGATGGCATTCCTGGCAGAGGAGTGGTAACAGCAAAGGTGGAGAGGTGGGAAAACACAGGCCAGGCCCAGGGACTCGCTGGACTGCACCTCGGAGTCCTAGCACATGAGTGGTAGAACGGTTGGAATGGAGGCTTGGGGCCAGATGATAGAATTTTGAGGGCTAGGGGAAGAGTTTGAGCTTTCTTCTGTAGCTTGATAGCTTCTAGGAGGAACCATCAAAGGCCTTTCAGGAATTCAGGCTTGTCTGTCTCAGGCTTCTCATTCTGCAAGACCAAGGGCCCAAAGTGGCAGCCTGACATTCTATCTCCTTTGCCATGGTTGGGAAGTTAGGGCTGTAGCTGATTTCATTGGCCTGTTTTGCATTTATTATAGTGTGGCTTTTATAGTGTGTTAATTGAAATATTTCCAACTGCCAAAAACAATTACACTCAAATTGCCTTGTCAGTTCTTTTATTGCCAGATAAATGTTTTACAGACATATTTACAGGGGGCAGCGGTAACTGGATCTCGTTTTCTATTTAAGGCTTGTGGTTTGGGTTGGGATTGGCCCTCCTGTGCTCTATTGTGAGCCTGAAAGTTGTTACACGTTGGGACGCTTCCATCCCATTACCTTATGGATCAGAGGCTCTCCAAAGGAAAGTAGCTCTCTGGCTCGTGTGGCTTAGCCTCAGAGAAGGGTTCCCATCATTGGAAACCTTGGCAACCTGACAGCTATTTGAATCCTGCTGCCTGCTCTATCAGCAACAATCCCAGCCCAAGATGAGACATGCTTTTCTCTTTCCCTGGAATTCCTTTCCTCCCTTCCACCCTCCAACCCTCTCCCAAAGACCCTATCATGCAAGAGCTGCAAGAGCTATAAGTGCCCATCTAGTCTAACTCCCTCTCTTTGCATTTGGGAAACTGACTCCCCTCTCTTTGCATTTGGGAAACTGAGGCTGCCCCAAGATCACACAAGTGGTCAGTGACAGAGCTGGAAGCAGGGGTTCCTTTCCAATGTGCCATGCTGCCACCAACGTGTGCCCTTCAGCTCTTCTGCTGCATTGAACCCTCCTGCAGTGCACTAGGCCTGCTCCTTCCAGGAGCCCCTCCCTCACGTCTCCAGTCCCCTCATATGCTTGATCATCTGAAACACCTATTTGTTCTGTATATATACTGTGGGATTTTTGTTGGTTTGTTTGGTGGAACTTTTTTTTTTTTTTTTTTTTTTTTGAGATGGAGTCTCGCTGTGTCACCCAGGCTGGAGTCCAGTGTGCGATCTTGGCTCACTGCAACCCCTGCCTCCTGGGTTCAAGCGATTTTCTTGCCTCAGCCGCTTGAATAGCTGAGATTACAGGTGTGTGCCACCACACCCGGCTAATTTTTGTATTTTTAGTAGAGACAGGGTTTCGCCATGTTGACCAGGCTGGTCTCCAACTTGTGACCTCAGGTGAGCTGCCCACCTCAGCCTGGGATTACAGGCATGAGCCACCGCGCCTGGCCAACTTTGTACATGATGTTTTCTTCTGAAAAACATTTTCTCCACCTAGACAATGCATACTTGTCCTTTGACATCCAGTTAAGAAATCGTCACCTTTGGCCGGGTGCAGTGGCTCACATCTATAATCCCAGCACATTGGGAGGCTGAAGCGGGTGGATCACCTGAGGTCAGGAGTTTGAGACCAGCCTGGCCAACATGGTGAAACCCTGTCTCTACTAAAAAATACAAAAAATAGGCTGGGTGCAGTGGCTCACGCCTGTAATCCCAGCTTCTTGGGAGGCTGAGGCAGGAGAATTGCTTGAACCTGGGAGGTGGAGGTTGCAGTGAGCTGAGATGGTGCCACTGCACTCCAGCCTAGGCAACAGAGTAAGACTATCTCAAAAATAAATAAATAGGCTGGGCGTGGTGGCTTACGCCTGTAATCCCAGCACTTTGGGAAGCCAAGGCAGGCGGATCAACTGAGGTCAGGAGTTCAATACCAGCCTGGCCAACCTAGTGAAACCTCATCTCTACTAAAAATACAAAAATTAGCCGGGCGTGGTGGCAGACGCCTGTAACCGGGAGGCTACTCGGGAGGTTGAGGCAGGAGAATCGCTTGAAACCAGAAGGCAGAGGTTGCAGTGACCCGAGATTGTGCCACTGCACTCCAGCCTGGGCGAAAGAGTGAAACTCTGTCTCAAAATAGTAATAATAATGTTTTTTTAAATCTCTTTATTGCCTGGTACAGAGATGAACACTTAGAGTATGCTTTAAAAATATTTGTTGAACCAGTTGCAAATAAATTCCCAGTGCTAAGTTACTTGGTCGTGATCTTCATGGGTCAGTCCCACTGATGCTGAAACTGGGTTGCCTCAGATATAGGACCTGTCTGGCTGGGCGCAAAAGAATATGTTGCCTCTGAGACTGTTTCTGAAACTTGGGAAGGCTCAACCTCCTTTTGTGTCTGGAATTGGTGGGTTCTTGGTCTCACTGACTTCAAGAATGAAGCCGCGGACCCTCGCGGTGAGTGTTATAGCTCTTAAGGTGGTGCGTCTGGAGTCTGTCCCTTCTGATGTTCAGATGTGTTCCGAGTTTCTTCCTTCTGGTGGGTTCGTGGTTTCGCTGGCTCAGGAGTGAAGCTGCAGACCTTCACGGTGAGTGTTACAGCTCTTAAGATAGCGCGTCTGGAGTTGTTCGTTCCTCCTGGTGGGCTCGTGGTCTTGCTGGGCTCAGGAGTGAAGCTGCAGATCTTCACAGTGAGTGTTACAGCTCATAAAAGCAGCGTGGACCCAAAGAGTGAGCAGTAGCAAGATTTATTGCAAAGAGCAAAAGAACAAAGATTCCACAGTGTGGAAGGGGACCCGAGCAGGTTGCCAATGCTGGCTCGGGCAGCCTGCTTTTATTCTTATCTGGCCCCACCCACATCCTGCTGATTGGTAGAGCCGAGTGGCCTGTTTTGTCAGGGCGCTGATTGGTGCGGTTACAATCCCTGAGCAAGATACAAAGGTTCTCCACCTCCCCATCAGATTAGTTAGATACAGAGTTTCCACACACAGGTTCTCCAAGTCCCCACCAGAGCAGCTAGATACAGAGTGTCGATTGGTGCATTCACAAACCTTGAGCTAAACACAGGGTGCTGATTGGTGTGTTTACAAACCTTGAGCTAGATACAGAGTGCTGATTGGTGTATTTACAATCCTTGAGCTAGACATAAAGACTCTCCAAGTCCTCACCAGAGCAGCTAGATACAGAGTGTCGATTGGTGCACTCACAAACCTTGAGCTAAACACAGGGTGCTGATTGGTGTATTTACAATCCCTGAGCTAGATATAAAGACTCTGCACGTCCTCACCAGAGCAGCTAGATACAGAGTGTTGATTGGTGCACTCACAAACCTTGAGCTAAACACAGGGTGCTGATTGGTGTGTTTACAAACCTTGAGCTAGATACAGAGTGCTGATTGGTGTATTTACAATCCTTGAGCTAGACATAAAGACTCTCCAAGTCCTCACCAGAGCAGCTAGATACAGAGTGTTGATTGGTGCACTCACAAACCTTGAGCTAAACACAGGGTGCTGATTGGTGTATTTACAATCCCTGAGCTAGATATAAAGACTCTCCACGTCCCCACCAGACTTAGGAGCCCACCTGGCTTCACCTAGTGGATCCCCCACCGGGGCTGCAGGTGAAGCTGCCTGCCAGTCCTGCGCCTTGCGCTCGCATTCCTCAGCCCTTGGGTGGTCGATGGGACTGGGCGCCGTGGAGCAGAGGATGGTGCTCGTCGGGGAGGCTGGGGCCGCACAAGAGCCCATGGAGTGGGTGGGAGGCTCAGGCATGGCGGGCTGCAGGTCCCGAGCCCTGCCCCGTGGGAAGGCAGCTAAGGCCCGGCGAGAAATCGAGCGCAGTGCTGGTGGGCCAGCACTGCTGGGGGACTCAGTACACCCTCCGCAGCCACTGGCCCGGGTGCTAAGTCCCCCATTGCCCGGGGCCAGCAGGGCTGGCTGGCTGCTCCGAGTGCGGGGCCCACCAAGCCCACGCCCACCCGGAACTCCAGCTGGCCCGCAAGCACCGCACTCAGCCCCGGTTCCCGCTGGTGCCTCTCCCTCCACGCCTCTCCTTCCACACCTCCCTGCAAGCTGAGGGAGTGGGCTCCGGCCTTGGCCAGCCCAGAAAGGGGCTCCCACAGTGCAGTGGGGGGCTGAAGGGCTCCTCAAATGCCACAAAGTGGGAGCCCAGGCAGGGGAGGTGCCGAGAGCAAGCGAGGGCTCTGAGGACTGCCAGCACGCTGTCACCTCTCACTTTGACTGTGAGATCCCTGGGCAGGAGCCTCCCTGAAATACTGTTTATGATATTTCCATGTCAATTTGCTTATGACTTACCTTCTGTTTTCTGTTCTTCATTTAGAGCATCAGCATAGGCAGAGGAACCAGGAAGAGAGTAAGTGCTGAGACTACCATGGTCTCTCAGCAAGATGCTAATAGTGTTTTTTTTGTTGAAAATATTATTTATGTGTTTTTAGAAAATGCAAATGAACTAAAAGAAGAATGTTAAAATCACCCTTAAACCTACCACCTTATAATAACTTTAGTTAACATGTGATGTTACATCCTCTCAGATATTTTTATGCATATATAAAATTACATGTATTTATTATTTTTCTTTGGAGGAATAAGAGAGATATATTTATTTTTAAGTGGAACCAAACTATATATGTTATTTTATAACATGTTTTTCACATAAAATATTTAGAGTGCCTTCCATTGCTAATAAATATATTTTTATAGCATCATTTGAAATTACTACATAATATTTTACCATATGTTCCTTAAGACTGTACCATAATTTGTTCAACCATGCCTCATTGGTGGACATTTAAATGCTTCCTTTTTTGGCTGGGTGTGGTGGCTCACTCCTGTAATCCTAGCACTTTGGGAGGCCGAGGCAGGTGGATCACTTGAGGTCAGGAGTTCGAGACCAGCCTGGCCAACATGGCGAAACCCCATCTCTACTAAAATACAAAGATTTGCTAGGCATGGTGGTGCATGCCTGTAGTCCCAACTATTTGGGAGGCCGAGGCAAGAGAATTGCTTGAACCCAGAAGGTGGAGGTTATAGTGAGCCGAGATCGTGCCGCTGCACTCCAGCTTGGGTGACAGAGAAAGACTCCATCTCAAATAAATAAATAAAAATAAATAAAAATAAATGTTTTCTTTTTCACTGTTATTATAAATCCTCTAACATCAGTACACCTAAATCTTTGGGCATATTCCTTAATATAAATTCCTACATGTACAAATTTGGGTAAAAGAGTATAAACAGTTATTAGGCTTTGATAAATATTTTCCAATTGATTTTTAGAAAGGTTATACTAATTTGTGAGTGCTCATTTCCCTACAGCCCCATGAATGCTGGATATTCGTTTTGGTTGTTTTATAGTTTGCCAATTTTATAGTGAAAAAATGCATTGTTTTATTTTGTATAATTTTGATTGTTAGTGAGAGTGAACATTTAAAAAAATATATCATGGGCCACTTTGGCAACATGTTTAAGTGTCTACCAGGGAAAGGCAAACCTTCTAGTCCTTGATTTTTTTGCTCCAAGGACCTAATGGGACTGTGAGGCTTAAAATAACTAAGTACAGAGAGTATTGAGTAACCTTAAGGTGGTAGTTGGGAAGATAAAATATAAATTAGAGTTGAAGTAACAGCTTATTATCCTTTCTTGATGTCTAAACCACTTTGCATAAAGCCCTGCCTTTGGCTGTTAGTCCTAAACATTAGCTTCTGGGCTTTACAGAAGGCAGTAGGGAGGAACCAGTTCTTCTGGTCCCACTACTGGGGCCAGAGGCCTACCACAACATTCCAAGTTCCAGCTAAGCCTGACCCCCAGGGCAGAGGTGGCCAGGATCTTCCAGGCAATGAGAACTCTGGCCTGAGCAGTTCTTTTGGACTCTTTCATGAGTGGTATGTTATACATTTTGTATTCTACATACAAGGGGCAGAGCTTGGCTTCTGGGAGTGTTTGTGAATGAAGGGGCTTTCTGTATGCTTGTCCAAGCAGAAAAGACACTCCCAAGCCTCATGTGAGGTTTTTGTCTAGGATGAAGATTCAGGGACTGAAGTGGGAGAAGGCACAGATGAATGGGCCCAATCCAAAGCCACAGTTAGACCCCCTGACCAGCTGGAGTTGACCGATGCGGTGAGTGAGTAGCCTCTTGTTCTTGCTCCTTGTACCTCTTCCAGTTTCGGAGATGTGTTCTTCCATAGTACATGATTAGGAGCTTGCCCAGAACCTGGGTGTGAGATGTCTGCTGATACTCTGAGGGATCCTTCTAAGCCTCAGATAGGGTTGGGGGGTCTTCATGTATGACCCTCTTGGTATTTTTCTCCCTCAGGAGTTAAAGGAGGAGTTCACTCGGATTTTGACAGCCAACAACCCACACGCACCCCAGAACATTGTCAGGTACAGCTTCAAAGTAAGTCATCCCCTCCTGGGCAGGGGCATCTATACCCATCTCCTTGGAGTGACAGTGACTTGCTACATTGCAAAAGCCTCTCAGTAATTCTAGAGGAGAGCACTTTTAAACTGAGGTCCTTGGCTAGAATCCTCAGATTTCATATGGAGTTTTCTAGAAGTTTTTGAAATTTCTTTATGAATCTCCCTTGCAGTCTTGCTGATTGTGGTCTTAAGTGTCCTGCAGAGCCAGTCTTTTCAAGAATCTTGAAATGAATCATTTGGTTAGAAAAATGCTTTTCTGATATATGTAACACATTTTTCACTAACATAAACTATTGAGTCTTCAAAAGCTGAGTTTTCCTCTAGCCAGCCATCTGGATGGAGTACAATTTCCCTCTAGACAAAAGGAGCTGGTCTTCTCCCCTCCCCACCCCCAGCCCCACTGGAGAAGTTCTAGCAGGCTCCAGTCTCAGCGTTTCTTGACATCACCGCCAGACAGGCCGGTGACCTCCTCAGGGCCCTCCTTTAGTACACATGGCGTGGGTGGGTAAGTTCTGACCTGATAGACACATATTGATATGCCTATATAGGGGACAATACTCTTTTCACTCATAGCAAGGTCAGCTCCTGTGGTTATGAACTGAAGAGAATTTCCGAGTACATTTGAGCTGCAGTGGAAGGGGTGCATATGTTTCCTATTTCGTTATTCTGAGACCCATTTGTTCCATGCTTACTGTGTGCCAGTGTCAGGTCCTATATTAGGTTTTTTACATAAAATATCTCATATAATCCTCCCCTTTCTTTGGTACAGGGACTATTAATATTCTAATTTTATGAAAACTTAGATTAAATTAGATAAACAAATTACAAAAGTTACATGACCAGAATTCAAAGCAAGATTTCAACTAGTTTGTCTGACTCCAAAGCAACATTACATTGCTTCTTTAAAAAAAATTTAAAATATATATGTGTATAATATTTTGAAAATATAATAGAAACCTATGGTACAAATTTCAAAAGATTCAAAAAAAATGAAAACACAGTCAAAATGAAACCTCCCTCTCTCCCCGTCCTCTTTCCTGAAGACAAGAAGAATTTATTTTTTTGTTTTTTTGAAAATTTTATTGAGATTTAATTCATATACTATACAATTCACCCACTTAAAGTGTACAATTCAGTGGCTTTTAGTACATTTATGGGTTGTACAATGACCACCACAATTTTAGAACATTTTCACTTCCCCGCAAGGAAACCCCAAGCCACTTAGCTGTTCCCCCTCAGTCTTCCATCCCTTCCAGCCCTCAGCAACCACTGAACTATTTTCTGTTTCTATAGATTTGCCTATTCTGGACGTTTCATATAAGTGGAATTATACACCATGTGGTCTTTTGTGACTGGCTCGTCTCACTTAGCATGATGTTTTCAATTCATGTTGTAGTATGTGTCACTACTTCATTTCTTTTTATTGCCAAATAATATTCACTTGTATGAATATACTACATTCTATTTATCCATTCATCAGTTGATGTTCATTTGAATTGTTTCTGCTTTTTGGCTATTATGACTAATGCTGCTATGAACATTTGTGTGCGAGTGTTTGTGAAAGATTAGTTGAACACACTGCTTCTTATTTAAGATTGTGTAGTCAACCACTACACAAAGAGGCTGAAACAAATCCAGAAATGTTTCTTTTTTTTTTTTTGAGACTGCGCCTCGCTCTGTCGCCCAGGCTGGAGTGCAGTGGTGGCACAATCTCGCCTCACTGCAAGCTCCGCCTCCCGGGTTCATGCCATTCTCCTGCCTCAGCCTCCCGAGTAGCTGGGACTACAGGCGCCCGCCACCACACCCGGCTAATTTTTTGTATTTTTAGTGGAGACTGGGTTTCACCATGTTAGCCAGGATGGTCTCAATCTCCTGACCTCATGATCTGCCCGCCTCAGCCTCCAAAAGTGCTGGGATTACAGGCATGAGCCACTGCGCCTGGCCCCAGAAACATTTCTTGAAAGGTGCTACTTGTGAGTTTTGCGAATGGCTTCCCTTGGGAAGCCCGAAAAGGTCAGAGGGAAGCTGCCTTATCCTCCCTGATGTTTTGCTGGAGCACAGTACACTCTATGGGCTCCTGTTCTTCTGACATCTGAAAGAGGACCTCTGTAGGACTCAGTGTGCTGACCATGGGAAGCACACTACAGGCAGAGGACTGGCATTGCCTTGTCAATTTCAACGTACTCTTCTTGCCCCTCATTTAGGAGCCCAAGTCTTCTGGGAAAGCTCACCTTACCCAACCTCCCAATAGCCTCCCGTGACTGGTGGCATCTTCCCACAGAACTAGTTTCCATCTCATTGGTCCTGAAAGAGCTTTAGGTCCCCAAAGCTGCTACTTTCCTTTGATGTGGTGGAGTAGAGAGGTAGATGGTTCTGATCTAGGCATGCCTTCCCTCCCCTCACAGAAGCAATGGAGTCTGGGTTTCATTCCTAAACTGAAGAGGAAGATCCCAGTCAACTACTGGGGACAAGATGAAGGTGAAATCTCAAATGAAACTGTAAGGGTAATTTATTCCTTGGGAATCTTCATCATGAAAATAGTTACTATTTTATTGAACATTAATATTGAGCATTTATTATGTGTCAGACACTGTGTTAATAGGTTGTTTTTATTATTTTTAATACTTATAATTATCATGCAAATTAGATAGTATTAGCCTTCTTTTATAGATGAAGAACTTAGGGCTTAGAGTGGTTAAGCCCAAAGTCATGAAGATAAGAAGCAGCAGAATAAAGATTCAAACCCAACTCTGCCTGCCTCCAAAGACCATGCTCTTAACCACTGCACTGACTTGTCTTCCCATACATCTGAGTTACTGAAAGAAGAAGGGCTCTGTGGTGACTTTTAAATACAGAGCTTCCCAACCTGTGTGATGGCGATCCTTCCAGCCCTCCAGGGGCAGGGAGATCTGTGCAACTGGACCCCATGAACTGGTTTCCTCTACTGTGAGTTTACCGTAGTGTGCCATACAAACATAGTTTCTATATGGCTTGAAAAGGGTTTGCATATCTGTTTTAAAAGAAGGAAGAGATCTCCGGTCTCTAAGTCAATTTTAGTGGTTGCAAGGGTGCTGATCAATGAGGAGGCTATCTGCAGGAACCAGACTACAAGCTCTGTGAAATAAGGGATTGTGTCTACTTTTTCTCAGCTTTATATCCCAGGCACCTGGAAAATACTTGGCACATTGAGGCTGTTCAAAAATTATTTCAAGAATGGATGAACAAAATGACCTGGGCTGTAAGCCTAATCCTGCTTCTCATTTGCTGTGTGACCCGGACAAATGCCAACCCATATCTTTTCTGGAATTCCATGGTCCTCTTGTATGGAACTAGGGGATTGGGGTTGTCTCTGAAGATCTATCCAGCTTTAGAATCCACTAAGTACAGTGGAGAGAGGGTTATGCCAGGTGTGTTTGATGACTCTATCTGCCCAGGGTATGTGGTATGGCAAGTGAACTTGAAACCCTTGGCATGGAAGTAGGAGACAAGACATATAAGCCAGTGATAGGCAAATCTGGAGCCACTTGAGGTTGGAAAGGCAAGGTATTTTAAAATAAATCCTTGATGATAACTTTAAAAAAGATTTTATTTCATTTGTCTTCTCTTCCTTTTCTTCTTTAAACTGAAATGCAGTGAAAACTTCAGATTAACTGAGGATTTGGTGAGTTACATTTCCTTTAACAAAGATGGACTGTCTTTGATCTTAGAGAATGAAAGCAGATTACATTTTGACTCCAGCTCTTTTAGGGATCCCTGGTCTGACTCAGCCCCTCTCTTCTTAGGAAGGCACATATAAGCCTATTGGCTTTGTGAACCAACTGGCAGTTCACTACACCCAGGTTGGGAACCTGATCCCCAAAGACTCAGATGAAGGACGGCGGCAGCATTACCGCGATGAATTAGTGGCAGGTAGGACTCTGGGCCATCCTGAAGCTACAGCCCTGAGCCTGTTCCCCTTATTCTGGTCACTCTAGGGAGTATACCTCTAAGCCAGAACTTTTCAGAGCTTCTGCTAACATAAACTCCAGGCCGGGCAGGGTGGTTCTTGCCTATAATCCCAGCACTTTGGGAGGCTGAGGCGGGCGGATCATGAGGTCAGGAGATCGAGACCATCCTGGCTAATACAGTGAAACCCCGTTTCTACTAAAAATACAAAAAATTAGCCGGGCGTGGTGGCACTTACCTGTAGTCCCAGCTACTCGGGAGGCTGAGGCAGGAGAATTACTTGAACCTGGGAGGCAGAGGTTGCAGTGAGCCGAGATTGTGCCACCACTGCATTCCAGCCTGGCGACACAGTGAGACTCTGTCTCAAAAAAAAAAGCCCAATAGCTGGTTGTCCTGAATAGGTCAGGGAGCTAACCCATGACACTCAGGCCAAGGAAAACCCCAGGCAGAAACCAAGAAAGCCCTCCCTGCCACAGATTGGGAGAGCAGGCTTAGACTTTGAACTCATTGGCAGTATCCTACCAAGGTTCTCAGGAGTCTGTCAAGGTGATTTCAGAAACAGGAAACCTCGAAGAAGACGAAGAGCCCAAGGAGTTAGAAACTGAGCCTGGGAGTCAAACAGATGTGCCTGCAGCTGGGGTACAGTATAATATCGCTCTGTGTCCCTCTTCTTCCAGCTCAAGCTGTGGATGGAGGCTTCATGGGTAACTTGGGAAAGGAGGAGGGAGACCTAAGGTGAGAATAGAGGCTGCAGGTGCCAATGTGTCTGGCAGCATCACTCTCTCCTACCTCTGTCCTATCCTAGGACAGGGCTTGCCCCATCTCCCGGTTTTCTACCACCTTCTCACAGCTGATTCCTGATCCTCTGGGTCTTTATTTTCAGGCAGCTGAAAAAGTGACTGAAGAAGAATTGATGACTCCTAAGCAGCCCAAGGAGAGAAAGCTCACTAACCAGTTCAACTTCAGTGAGAGGGCCTCACAGACCTACAACAACCCTGTCCGGGTAGAGCAGCCCCCACCCTAGCCCCTTTGCAGCTCTTCACTGTGCCTGGCAGGGAAGAAGCAGGCCTGACCCTGGCCCTAGCAGACCTCAGCCTGGCAGGGGTGACAGGACAACAGATGCTACAGCTTATCTCCCCAAGGAGAGCTGAGAGCATGTGTTCAGGTCTCTGTAAGCTATCCAGGCAGGAGTTTAGAGGGAGTAACATGGAGGCTAGAGCTCCCAAAACTCCACTGGAAGGCTTCAGCTGGATCTGAGCTTTGTAGAGGGGTAGAAATTAGGACTTGGGAGGGGAGGGGAGGCCACAGTGTGTTCAGGGAACAGGAGGCCTAGGAGCCAGTTCAACTGAAGTTGATGATCTCTGTGATAGACCAGCTGGCAAAGGCCAGAAAGTTCCCTGACTCAGAGGCTCTTGAGAACCAGGCTGAGGGAGCCTCTCAGCGTTTCAGGTGAGAGACTCACACGTAAGGGGAGGGTTCTACAGAAATGAATCTACAGATGGAGGGCGAGGTCTACAGGGTGAGTTTTTGACAGTGCCTCATCACCCTGTGTGGTCCCTATGCTAACATTTGGTAATCTGGGTGATACAGAATGGGAAGGGGGCCCATTCCCCTGGTGGAGCCAGAGACCCTCATATTAGAGAGGCCTTCTCAGGGCAAGGGGTGTTAGTCTGATGGCCTGACAGAGGCTGACCTCTATGCCCTGGCCTGGCATCCTGCAGGTCTGTTCATCCCCCACTTAGACTGTATCTTGGTTAAAATGGGCACAGTCAGGCTTCCCTGCCCCTGCTTTCTAGCTTATACTTCTTCTGAAGGAGGCCAGAATGGACACAATATGGGCTTTGAATGCATCATTCAGTTATTCACCCAAGCCCCTCTTTACTTCCCCAGCTCTGTGTCCCAAACCTCCATCAGCCCCAGCCAAAATGCTTCTCTCAAAGATATACTGTTGGATTAAGTGAGAAGGAGTTGAGGGCTTTTTGTGGGTCTCCTGTTGTCTTGTTCTTTAGGATCGAGAATGCCAGACGGAGCCTCCTCCCAGGACAAACTTTTCAGCCACAGCCAATCAGGTAAGACCCTGGGCCAGCCTGAAACCTCTTACCACCCACCTCTATGTATCCTTTCCTCATTTAGCAGCAAAGGCAACACTGGGTCAAGGGCTCCTCTGGCAGTCTGCCCTCCTCATCTACTTGCCTCCCTGCTCACTGTCCTGAGCATCCAGGCTCTGAACACCAGGCACATGAGACAGTAGGTCCCTATCCAGTGAGCTGTGGGCCAGCCACGTGACTCAAGGGCAAGGTTGTGCAAGCTGGAAACAGGCATGGCTTCTGGATGGAGCTTCTTCCATGACCAGGGGAGAACATTTGCTTCGATGGACTCTCTGGAACCTGTGGCACCCTGTGACTCTGTGACTGACTCCAAAGTGTTAGCACTCTGACCCTGCCCTCCCAGCAGCCTTCAGTGTTCCTGCAGCCCCCCTCCTCCCCCTTCAAGTCCTCCTGGATGGCCACACTTATTTGAACAGGATATGGTGCCAGGAGACCTGATCTCAGACCTCACATTTTCTGTTCATACTTTAAGATCCTGAGCAAACCATGTCACTTTTAATGCCTCAGTTTCTTTCTCTCTAAAGAGAGGATGACAAGCTGCCTCACAGAGTTGTTGGAGGGTCTGAATGAGATAACAAAGATTAGAGTACTTTGCAATGTGGAATAGGAGACTGGGGGGGAGTTATTAAATGTAAGGTTTGCTTATCTGACCTCCAGGTGGCAGTGACTTCCCAGCTCTAGGGAGCACACGGTGTGATGAGGGGCATTTGCCCAGCCCCAGATCCTTGCTGCTTCCTCTGCTACTATCCTTGGGCTTCTCTTCCTGTCAGATCCATTTAGCAAATGTTCCCTTACCTTTTGCTTATCTCCTTTTAATGCTGAGATGTGGTCAGTGCCATAGACAGCCAGCCCGAGCCAGTATGTTTATGCCATGTCCGGGGTGGGGGTGGGGATATGAAGATATATATATATATATATATATATATATATATATATATATATTTGAGACAAGGCCTTGCTCTGTCACCCAGGCTGGAGTGCAGTGGCACGGTCTTGGCTCACTGCAACTTCTGCCTCCTGGGCTCAAGCGATCCTCCCACCTCAGCCTGCTGAGTAGCTGGGACTACAGGGGCATGCCACCACACCTGGCGTATTTTTGTATTTTTTGTAGAGATGGAGTTTTTGCCATGTTGCCTAGGCTGGTCTTGAACTCCTGGGCTCAAACAATCCACCTGCCTCAGCCTCCCAAAGTGCTGGCATTACAGGTGTAAGCCACTGTGCCTGGCCTATTTTTTTAAATGTTCTAGTTCAGAGTCTTTTAAATCACCAACAAAAATGGGAACTAGCCTGATGTTTGCCCATTTGTTCTGCCTGCTGGGGGCTGCATGCTAGAACAATGTTGATCTTCAGCTGAAGACCCAGCCTCTGGGTTTCAGGGTATGTAAGCCCAGCCCAGAGATGTCCTTAGAACTCTTTCATTCTTGTTCCAGAGCTGATAGTAGGGAAGACAGGTATTGAATACCTAATTCCAACAGGCCAAGTAGAAGATGCTTGTTGCCAGGGTTAACATGACCAATTCCTTAAGTCTTGAAGGCTGAAAAGAGCTGTCTGGGTAAAGATTGCACCTTACAATGATCCTTCTTATCTCACCCTTGCCTAGTGGGAGATCTATGATGCCTATGTAGAGGAACTTGAGAAGCAGGAAAAGACCAAAGAGAAGGAGAAGGCAAAGACCCCAGTGGCTAAAAAATCAGGGAAGATGGCCATGAGGAAGCTGACATCTATGGAGTCTCAGGTTTGGTGTTAGTTCCTACAGCTCTGCCACAGAATTTCTGAATGAGGCCTTGGCCTCTGGGTAGACAGAAGCCTGGCTGTCTGGGAGGGGTTCACAGATACTTAAATCAGGGACTAATGTTGAGATATAAATAGTTCTTTCCTTAGGGGAAGATGTGAGGAGAGCTACAACTGCCTCTAGCATTCCATACCTCCCCCCAGTAAGATAGATCTGGAGGCTAGCAGTATTTCAGAATTATTGAGCTAGAGGGTAACAGAAGACATATTCCTTATTGAAAGCACTATATGCCTTCTGGAAGAGCTGGGGAGTGTGCTCAGGTGGGGGTGGGATGTGAGGATAAGGCACCACTTCCCTCGGCAACGGCTTATAGGATCTGGGAAAGTGAGATGTTTTTTCACTTTCAGTACTTGGGTTTACTTATGTCCTATACTGTAGGTGAATCTTCAGGGCCAGGAGCCAGATCAGAGATGATCATAGGTACCATAAATGCTAGGCCAATGGATTTGGCCACCCTGGGCTAGATTTTCCATGAAGAGCCATGTAGAAGTCATTATAAAGGTCATGGTTGAGGGGGGCTCACTGTGGGTCTAGCCAGCACAGGTTTGGGGAATCATCGTGGGAGTCACAGTGATGCAACTATAGGGAGTCACTGAAGGGAGGGTCGCCACAGGGAGACGCTGAAGGGCCACATTTGTCCCTTTAACAGACAGAAATCTGGATCAGGAACCAGAGTCCCATTGTGGATCAGGATGGGTTTGACTTGCAGTGGCGTGGGAGGGACAATGTCCACAGGAATCTGGGGGCTGGTTTTCAGCACCTCGGAGAGTTCCCATGGCTGCTCTCGGGGAAGTGGTTCTGCTCCACTCCAGAATTGAAGCTGGACCAGATAAAGGAAGTGCTGCTTCCTATGCCTGAGATGTGTCCACTCTCGCTTAATTCTGTTTCATTATCCTGATCATGTCACATTTTAGGGGAAGTTTGAGGGTACCCTGCCTTGGCTTTATAGGAACTGTCCCAATGCTGTTTTATTCAGTCACTGACCAAGTACCTAGTGATCATGGCCGTGCGGGTACTGGAACTCTGAGGTGAAAGATGGAGCCCCTGCCCTGCTACTCTGTGCAGACCCTTGGCTTCCCCTGATCCATTCTCTAGAGGTTAGAGGCTTCACAGGGGCCACTGGCCTAGGTCAGGGTTCACATGAAGATCCATCAGGGGTTATAAGCTCTGTACTGGGACCCATGGTTGCAGAAACCTCAACTATAATCACCAGGATCTAGAAACCAGAAGAAAAGTCCCTGTGACTGAGACTAGAATCTGACCTGTGTCTTCTAAGCCTTGCAGAGTTGGTGTCTAACATCCTCAGGGATGAGGGACCATCTCTCTCCATCACACTGGACTCTTCCAGCTTAGCTGACTTGGAAGACTATGGTACAAGCAGATTCCAGCCCTCTGGACCAAGAGTCCACATGGGAGGCAGGACACCCTCCCCCAGCCCCACCTAGTGAATGCCTTGGTGTGCACCCTCTCCCCAAGGCAATAATTAGAAATCCCAAGTACTGGGCCAGGCTGTCTGTGCAACACAGTGGGAAAGGCAGTCACCTTCCCCATTGCCCAGGCCCAGTGGTTGAACAGAGTGACACCCCTTCCTCAAAGAATGGGGTCTGATTATGTGGGTAGAAAACTCAAATGTGCTGGAGGGGAGAAAAGATAAAAACTTCATGATATCCTATAGGAAGGGCCTCCTTGGTGGACCTCAGGTCTCTGTCTCATTAGTGATTTGAGTGAATGCACAGAAATCAATGCACATTTGTCTGATCTGAATAATTAGGTAGGAAAGGAGGAAAGGGCTCACAGGCTGCAAGTTCAGTGAGAACTAATAAAGATGTGTGGCTGCTCCAGTAGCATAGTATCTGGGACAAGGGAGGTGACAGCCCACAACACTCTCCTCAGAACACAACTGGAAACCTGCATCTCCCAGGGCCAGGAGAGGAGTGGTCAGACTGGGGAGGCACTGGCTCACTGTGTGGGTCTGAGAGCATGGACCCTGGAACCTACAGACCTGGATTTATATCCTGGCTTTGCCATTTGTTAGCTCAGTTTTTCTGAAACCTCAGTTTCTTCATCTGTAAAGATACCCTAATGATACCTACTTTGCAAGATTTTCATGAGAACCCAAGATAATACGGTGCAGCCCCTAACATAACACTTTTGTGCTACTGATCAATAAATGGTAGCTATTGTTATTGATATGCCATTTCATGACTGATGGAGCTGGGAGGAGTCACCCGAGGAAGTGCTGACTTGAGGGCATGTGGCTGTGTCCTCCTACCTCAAAGGAGCTCTCACCAAGCATCCAATTCCTTGTGGCCAGAGGACAGAGTTGGGCCCATAGGTAGAAGATGCAGGGAGGGAGTTTCAGTTAACTGGCTATCTGGCCACAGAAAACACTGCCTGACCTGGGGAGAGTCACACTTACCAGGAAGCTGCTAAGGGGAGAGGATTCCTGCTCTGGGTCAGAGAATAGAGAGCGTAGCTGGAACCAGGTGAACTCTGAGGTCCGTGACTGCAAGACTCCAGTGAATGCCCTTCTTGGTCAGTTTTCAAAGATAAACTTGGAGTCTCTTTCAGGCGTGGCAAAAGGTCCTCAAAGGTCAGTTCCCCAGAAGTGACTTCATAACCCTTCGCTGCACTACTCTGCATGTTTCCTCTGACACCATCACCACCGGGAACTGGGTTAGACACTAACATGTATTATCACATTTCACCATCACAATGACCTGATGAGGCAGATGCCACCATCCGCCCCCACTTACCAGGAGGAGTCTAAGACTCAGAGAAGCTAAATAACTTGCCAGAGGTTGCCACCGGGTTCTAATTTTGGTGGGATGGGATAGGAGTGCAGGTCTGTGCGGCTCTAGAACCCATCCTTTTAACCGCTACCTGACGCTGCTGTTTCTGAGACATCGAATCCTTGGGAGCCATGGGCCTGGCCCCCTGACCCTACCCTGGAGGGCTGCCCATTCAGCTGGCTCACTCCTGCCACCTGCCCTAAGCCCTCTGGGCCTTTCCTGTTAGTCCCAAACTCTTTGCTCTTCTGTCAACCTGCCAAGCACCTCATCTTGGGGATTTATGGAATTTCACACAATGGCAAGCTTCCTTTTGGTTCAAGATGAGTCACGTTTTCCTGAAGTTAAGCTTCCTGCTTTCTCATTGGTCTGGGCTGTGGGGAGGGCCTGGAATTAGGAGTCTCAGTTCTGCCTTGTACTCCATGTATGTAAGCATGTCTCTCCCCTCTTTGGGCCTTGGTGCCTTCCTCAGCCTGTAACTGAGTAAGGGATAAAACCACATGATCTTTGAGGCCTTTAATGGGAGTCTTTCACTCTCTGAGCTGGTAAAACTTTTCTGTCTCCACCAAAGAAGGCTCCAACCTGCCCTTGTCTGCTCTCCCCTGCAGACCCTTCCTGGGCTCTCTTCAATGCCCTGTCTTGTGCTCAGAGATAGGCCTTCTCCAAAACAAGTCCAGAATGAAAGCATGAAGCAGGTTCTACCCAGGGGCCAAGTATATCAGCTCAGACCCTTTGTGCCACTTGTGAGGTAGGAGTTCCTAGAAGAGGGTAGTGGCATGAGCTGGGCCTTGAGACATGCAGAGAAACCTTTACAGAGCTATCTGGGGTGAGTAGTGCCAGAGAGCTACTGCTGAATCAATTGCAAGGGTGACATGGCTCAGGACATATGACCTTGCTAAGTGCTGGTTTATGAGGACCTGAAGTTTCTGTATCCCCACAGACTGATGATCTCATCAAATTGTCCCAAGCTGCTAAGATCATGGAGCGGATGGTCAACCAGAATACATATGATGACATTGCTCAAGGTAAGAGTTGAAGTTCTGGCAACCACTATTATTGCCTGTATTAAAAATTTCTCATAAAAGCTTGGGTTATTTGGGTGTCTCTTGCTAGCTCCTATAGGTGCAAGCGGAGAAAAAATAATCCCTCTGTCCTCTGGATGTCACTGGGGAGACAAGACTTATGTGGATTAACCATGACTGATGGCATAAGAAACAATGTGTATACTGATGAGATCTGGAAGTGGTGCAGCAAAGAATACCTGCACATGGGTGATCCAATCTCATCTTCCTGATAACCCTGGGAGGCAGGCAGAGCAGAGACTTGCCCATACTGTACACATGAGGAAGCTAAGGCTAAGGCCACCTGACTAGTGAGTGGCAGAGAGGACCCAAATAGAGGTCTCGATCTTCCTCATTCTATGCTCTGTCCTCTACTCAGAGCACCTTGGGAATGCTATAAATGCCAGAATGTATGGGGTAGACAGAAACCACTCTGGGGATCCTCACATAGGAGAGAAGGAAAGTGAGGGATGAGTGGGAGTAGTTATGGAAGGCTTTGGAGAGGGCTTAGCTAGATGCCAAGGGAGAAGCAGAGTGTGTGAGAGAAGATAGCTACAGGGAGGATGTTCTGGACAGGGATGGCATGAGCAGTGTCTTGGCAGTGAAACCGAATAGGAATGGACTCTGGGGACAAGGGACAGCAGGCTCCCTGACCCAAACAGGATCTTCATTGAAAAGAGGTGAGAGTTCAGGCGGAAGAGGTTGTTGGAGCCCATTAATGAAGGGCCTTGAATATCATGCAAGGAATGTGACCTATCTCTGCAGACAGTTCAGAGAACTGAAACTTTCTAGGCAGGGACACAGCCCGATGAGAGCAAGGCTGGAGGAGGATGTGATTGTGTAGAATATAGGGCAGAGGTGGAGGTGAGGCTCAAATGTGGGGTGGAATGGGCCTTACCACACCTGACCTAGCCTGTGTCTTAAGGAATGGAGAAAAGGGAACAGTTATAATAGTGAGAAACAAGCTCCAGCATTCACTGGGAGTAGCCTGTGTGTCAGGCATTGTGCTATGCAATTTACATGTTATTATTTTGTTTGTTCCTGACAGCCACACTGTGAGGTGAATACCATTATTATCTCCATTTTATAGATGAGAAACTCAGGCTGGGATGTTGCCACTTTTTCAAAGTCACAGCTAGTGTGAAGTGTGAGTGGCAGAATCAGAACTCGAACACAGGCCCCTTGGATCCATCACCTAAGCACTTCGCCGCTAGGCTGCAAAGCCACTGAGCCGGAAGAGACATTTCAAATAAACACACTCAATAGATCTATCCTGGTGATTAATTAGTGATGAGTTGAAGAAAGAGATTGATTCAGAAATGCTTAAATCCTGGGGGCCTGGGAAATTCTGGTGTCTGACAGTGTCAGGGAAACAGAATCCTTCCCATGGCATGAACAGCACATTCCCAAGTGGCTTGTATTTCCCTAAGAGGTTGTGCATTTATTTGGAGCAGCTGCCTTCCCAGAGTTGGCAGCTCCTCGATGCTGGCTGGTCTCCTTTGCTGACAGCCTAGGGCTCTTCTTGGTGACTTGATGCTCATTGCTCACCCATGGGACACAGAAACCAGGGCTGCCAAAACCAGCCACCTAAACAAGCCCCCTCATTATCATTCAGGCTGGAAAACGACCTTGAGTGCTTTTCAAAGCTGTCAAAGTACACAACAGCTGTGAATGAGTTTGTCACTCACACAGCGTGGCTTCTTGAAACCCAGCCTCTGCAAGTGGCCCACCAAAGGGCTGCAAACCTGATTAATATCCATGGAGAAATTGGCCTTGGTGAACCACTTTCATTTATAAGAACACAGTCACATAAAAATGTATTGAACTTTGATTTTTTTAATTGCATACTCCTTTCCCTTTGGGAAAGTGTAATCATGAAGGAGACATGAAAATAGAGAAGTGTTACCAATTAATCTCTGCTCTGAATTGAAGTATTTTCAAAGATAACCCAAGCGGGGTAATCTCTGATGTAATCAAGGCTCACGCCTCTCTGACCACTTGAATCTTTTTTGTTCTGAGACATTTTTGAGGTTTGAGTGAAGTCCCACAACCTCAAGGTATGGGCACTATAGGAGATGTCAGGCCTGGGCATGTTCTTGGCTTCACTGAATGACAGGATTCATTTTCTAATTGGTCACCCTTTGTCTAAAGAAGATCAAGAACTACTTCACTTCTGTTAATGAATTTCACTGCATTCTTTAAACAGTTGTTGGTTGTCTGTTTTGTGGCTGGCCCTGTGCTAGGCACTGGGGACCCAGAGAATATATGTGTGTCCTGCTCTCCAGATATTGTCTGGTGGGGGAGAACAGGCAAAAGGATAGAGGCAATCTAGTGTGACAGATGTTTCAGTAGAGGAGAGGCAGGGCTGGAACAGAGGAAGAAATTAACTCTGCTCAAAAGAAAATGAAGGCCTTACAGATGAGAAAGAGTTTGATCTGGATCTGGAGTGAGTAGGAGTTTGCCAGGAAGAACAGGGCATCTTAGACATGGAAAACGATGTAGAAACACCCAAAACAGGAGACAACTGGACTCATTGGCATGATTTGATATGGAGGGGACACGGACAGCTGACTAGAAATAACGTGGATCTCCTCTTGGTTTAATCTCCTCTGCAAGGAGAGCCATTGAGGGGGTTTCAGTGGAGTGAGGAAAGGGGTGTCGTGAGGTGCCTTGTTTGTACTCACACTGGTTGTTCTGTGAAACAAGGGTTGGAGAAGGAGTTACTGGAGGTAGGAGACCAGTTAGAGGGATGTTGTCATAATACAGGTGATGGATGTTGGGGCCTGAACCTGGGCAGGGGCTATGGGTTTGGAGAGAAGCGAATGAATTAAAAAGATAGAAGAAAAATATGAGAAATTATGGAAACAGATCAGTCAAGGATTACTCATTTCTGGTTTAGACAAGTGGGAGGATGGGGCATCTATCTAACTTAAAGAAAGTGGAAGGCAGAGACAATTTTGTGGGCAGGAGATGAAGTTGGGTTCAGAGAACCCATGGGGGATCTAGGCAGCTTCATTATAGGGAGACTTGGCTGTGGATATGAAAATGGGCTGCATTTTAGGGATTTAGGAGGCAGAATTAATGGAACTATTAATCAGCCCTTGGCAGCTGAACCCTTGAAATTTGGCTCCTCCAAACAGAGCCTCCTGAAATGCTAGGGAAACACATGGGAACAAGGGCTGCGAACCTGGGATTTTATCCATGTAGACATGGCCGGTGTATTGTAATGTACCTCCAACAACAACGACAGTAACAATGGCTAACACATAGAGCTTACTATGTGCCAGGCATTTTTCTAAGCTCTTTGCATATATTAACTCAATTCATATATCCTCACAACAGAACTCTGAGATAGGTAGTAGTATTATTCCCACTCTAAAACAGAGGCTCATTGTTTTGCCCAAGGAGGTACAGACAGTAAGTGGTGGACCTGGGTTTGCCATAAAGCGGCAGTCCCAGGGCTGACTCTGCCTGTGTGTGTTTAAGATTTTAAGTACTATGACGATGCTGCTGATGAATACCGGGACCAGGTGGGTACCCTGCTGCCGCTCTGGAAGTTCCAAAATGACAAAGCCAAGCGCCTGTCCGTCACTGCCCTCTGCTGGTAAGTATAGGCATTGCAGCAAATGCAGAGCCCCTGAGTGCCCTCTACATCCCAAACCCCCAGTACCCCCTTCTGCACTTAACCACCTTGAGTATGACATGTGACAGTATAGAAAAATATGGAACTTGGATTCTTATGGGATCACAAGACCACCCCCAGGACTCCCAAGTGGTGAGGGCCTAAGCTGGAGAACAGATGTCTGTAGTATATTTAGGCACCAGTGCCAATGGGAAGGCCCTTGTCCACAGGAGGGCCATGTTCATTTCCTATGCCAATGGATTCATATTTTTTTTTGCAGGAATCCAAAGTACAGGGATCTGTTTGCAGTGGGATATGGCTCTTGTAAGTGATCTGACTATTCATTTATTTGCTCATGTAAACAGCAAACACTAAGTACCTACTCTGTGCAGAACTCTTTGCCAGTTGTAAGAAATACAAAGATGACTGCCCGCAGGGGGCTCACAGTCTAATGGGGAAGACCCACAATCCTACTGGCAATTAGTGCTGGGTGAAGGAATATTCTAAGCTGAATGTGTCAATGGAACCTTGAAGGAGTTATTCTGGTGAAGAAAGAGGGGAAAACACTTCTGGCAGAGGGACCTGCATATGCAAAGGCTTGGAGGCATGAGGAATATGGCAGAATATGAAGCTGCTGGGGGGGCCAGGGTCAGCCCTCAAAGGGCCTGGTAAGCCATTCCAAAAAGCTTGGATCTTCTCCTGAGGGGAAACCACTGAAGGAATTCAAGGACAGGGACATGACCAGTGCAGGGAGGAATTGCAGGCATTGCAGGCCTGAGACTGGAGGCAAGGAAACCAGTTAGGAGACTGATGCGGGCATCCCAAGGAGAGATGGCAGGACCTTAACCACACTGTGGAGTAGGGATGGAGACCCCCCCTTCCTGCCTCCTCCTCAGGCCTTCCTGACCGGGTGGGTGGGGGCATGGGGGATGGGATCCCCTGAACCTTCGGAGCCCACTGCTATCCAGAGTGTGCCCGCCCCTGCCAGTTACCCACCCAAGGCAGGAAGGCAGCACAATGGAAACTGTGTCCAGGCGATTTGCTTTCCCTTCATGTTACTTGGTCCCAGAAGAAGCCCCTAGCGCTGTGCTGGCCTGGACATTCCCCCTTCCCAACGGGAGAGGGCCCTACACTTCACAGTAGTCTCGCTCCCCAGTGCTAACAGCTTGTTCTCTGGCTGGGAGGATCAGCTTCTGCAAACACAAAAACCTTTCCATTCTCCAAGCTGCTGCTGGCTGGCAGGCATACAAGCTCCCAGTCACTGCCCCTCAGACTGCCTGTCCACCCATTCTTTGACCAGGGTGGGGAGGGGCAGTGGGTGTTTGTCATTCCTCTCAGGGAGGAGACCTTGGAGCTACTCCCAGTCTTGTGGTCTGGGCCGCCTTTGAGGATGCCCTAAATGCCTGCTTTGTGTCCCCACTCCTGAGGGTGGGCTGCTGCCAAGTGGGAAGTGCCCTCCCCCTCTGGCAGGGAACTAGCACATTCCTCCCCCTCTGCTGCAGCTACTGGGCCTGGAACAGGGCCTGGGGGTTGGGTTGGGCAGGCCCTCCCAGGAGTGGGTGTGGACCCCCCTGTGAGGCTACTCTCAACCCAGGCTCTCTGCCCAGGTCTGAAGCAGGGGTGTAGGGGTTGCTCCTCAGAAGGTGGGAGGGGAAACTGCTTCAGTTTTAGCGCTATTCTCCCCGCACCCAGGTTCGGAAGCAGGCTCAGCTGGTCGGGGTCATGTGGAGGCTGTCGTGGGGGCTGGAGGGCTGGGCAGCCTTGGGCAGGAGCAGTAGAGTAGGTCACCTCCCACCAGCAGAAGACCTTGAGCCTGACAAGCCCAGCAATGTCCTTTGGGCAGGCACTTACCTGAGAACGGTCTCTTTGTCCTTCCTTGATGCTGTTAGCTACATCCACGTGCCTGAGTGGTACCCGTCGTCAGCTACAGTCCTGGGGGTGGGGGTGTCACTTTCCAGTGACACCTGGGGCCAGAAGCCTCTCTGAGCCTTGGTTTCTTCGTTGGTGACATGGAAAGGCTGACAACCTGCCAGGCCTCCATTCCAGGGCTATTGTGAGGTACGCTTGAGAGAGAAGAAGTAAACATGCTGCAAGCGGAGGAACCACCTACACATAACGGACAATCATTGCTGATTTGTCTGTCATTCTTTCTCGTAGCTTTCCTGCAGTACCCTCAGGGAGCCCGAGCAGAGAAGGGGGGTGTGGAGACAGAGGTAGTCTCCTAGGGAGCAGGGCCCAGTGGCAGCAGCAGTGGTATTTGCTTTTGTTGTCACTGGCTCTGGGGTTGTTGGCCGGCTTTCAGATGAGCATCTATTCTCCAGAGCCTTGCATATCTCAGAACCACCTGCAGAGGCCTGAATAGAACCAGGCTGGCTGAGACTCAGGAAGGCCCCTGCATCCATCCTGAGCTTGCCTCTGGGAGTCCCATGCTCTTGAGTGCCTCCATGGGAGAAAGAGGGCGAAGCTGGGGCAGACAGAAGGCACCCTAGCTGCTGGATGGGGTCACTATGAGGAGCAGCTGGTCTCACCAGCATCCATCACACTGTCTTTGGAAGCTCCCAGATACCACCCTCCCATAATCAGCTTTTGCCTCATGAGGACAAACACTGGAGTGAGAATTTGGGTTTGTAGTTGGATTTGACTCTGGTGAGCTGAGTCTAGACCTCATAAACCTCCTTTTTATGGTATTCCCAGATATTTATTCTGTGACTCAGCCAAATAAAACTTTGGCAGGGGTAGGTATGTACCCTAGGAAGGACTGTAGCCATTCCCTCATTTCTGGGACAGGCCAGGTTGGTTGGAGCCAGCCAGGAACAAGCAGGTAGAGAAAAGGAAATCTGGGCAATTGCCTGCAACAGCACAGAAACATCCCTACCTGCTTCCCTTCTATAGCTGCTGGGTACCAGCTAGTGAGCACAATAGGCTGCTTAAAGGGCAAAGATTGGGATCCCCCTAGGGCCAGGCTACATGTTCCCAGCAGAGTAGAGAAAGAGGCTGTCAGTAGGTATAAAGCAGGTGGAGGAAGGTTAGAAGAAAAGGAACTAGCCCAAGAAGAGATGGCCTTGGGACTGCTGGGATGCAATGATGTCAGCCGGCTGTACTGAAGGGGTCCTTTCCAGCCCATTAGCCAATTCATAGCAGGGAAACAGGGACTTCTCATGGTCTTCCAGGCATGGATGGTGGAACAGATCAGGATGCTCTGTGTGGTCCTGAGGCTATCACACAGGAGATGGGGCAAGAAGCTTCCCAGAGCGCCATGTATTGGAAGAGCAGGGGAGCCAGCTGTTCCCCAGCCCAGCCTCTGTCTGGGGACAGCACCCTCAAAAGGGGCCAATGTCAGGCTCTGAGTCCCAGCTCTAAATCCCTTCCCACTCTGTCCCACCACATCCTGGCCTGTCCCTGGGCCTGCCCAGGCCAGAGATACACTTTTAGGGATTTAAATCTTTCCTGATCATTTGTTTGTCAGCTTCACTAATTAAGCAGTGTTAATTTCATTTACTGGAAATGGAAATTCATCCACCTCATTTCTTCTCATTCATCCTCCACACACAAAATCCATCACTCCTCGGCTGCGGGCTGCGTAAAATTTACAAGACTAATTATGTTGTCAGGTCTCTTTGTAAATACAGTCCTTAAAGGCCACTGTGCTTGCTGGGTTGTAATGCAAGGGCATTCCTGTTGTTAGTTTAATTACTGGTTAGTTATTTAGGTTCTCAAATGTTTGCCTCATTTTCCCTAAATCAAATTAAATGTCCCGCTTGATGTATTCTGTCTCTAAGGCCTTGCTCTTATTTCCACACTGTTTAAATATGACTTCTAATCGAACGAGAGTGCCTGGAAAAGCCCAGCTGCTGGAGAGGCTGAGCCCAGCTCGGCACCATGGCCTCTGGGCCATGCTTGAGGTTTTGAACCCTCTAGCAACTGATAACCTTCTTTAGAGCAGCCTTGGGCTAGTCCCCTGCCTTTGGAAACTGTGAACGTCCTAACACAAGGGGAATTTTTGTTCCTGGAGTCGAAGGTGGCAAGGCTGAGGTATGGGAAATGGAGAGAGGGTTTCATTATTGTCATCAGAAGGGCGGAGGAGCATTGCATCCATCCAGCTGACTTCTAGAGGGACGGCTTCCAAACCATCCCAGAAAAAAAAAAGTGCCATCTATGGGAGCCTCTCTCTCTGATTCCTAAAGTACGTTTGGGTCAATTTTCCCTAAATGTCTACTATATTAGTTTCCCGTTGCTGCTGGAATAAACTACCACAAATTTAATGGCTTAAAATAACACAAAATTATCATATAGTTCTGGAGGTCAGAAGTCCAAAATAGGTTTCACGGAACCAAAACCAGGTGGTAACAGGGCTGCATTCCCTCTTGAGGCTCCAGGGGAGCAGCCCTTTCCCTCCCCTTTCCAATTTCTACAGGCTGCCCACATTCCATGGCTTGTGGTCCCCTTCCAGCAAGCAATCGAATCATTCTGACATCTGCTTCTATGGTTACATCTCCTTCCCTGACTCTCCTGCCTCCCTCTTTCCCTTATAAGAACCCTTGTGATTACATTGAGTCTACCCAGATAATCCAGGATAATCTCCTCCATCTCAATGTCTTTCACTTAATCAAATCTGCAGAATCCCTCTTGCCATGAAAAGTGACATATTTACAGGCTCAGGGGATTAGGATATGGACATCTTTGCAGGGGGGCCTTATTCTGCCTACCACACACCCCCTCCAAGTGCCTCTTGCATGACTTAATAAGGGAGTCATTAAACAGCTGCTGTCTTGGAGCCAGTCCTGGGCTAGACTCATTTAGGACAGCACAGTAAGAGAGGAAGCCTGCTGTCAGTGGCTGGCCTGGTATCCTTGTCTCTGTAGCGTGGCATCTACTTCCTCCTGTCCACTGACCTGGCCTGATGCCCCTACATGCCCTCTGCTTTAGCAGAGTGCCCCCAGGTAGGGGCTGCACTAGCCTTCCACCTCTCCAGCTTCGGCTCCCCTGAGCTTGGTGAGGAGGCTGGGAGGACCGAGCTGGTGGCGGAAGGGCTGGGACTATGTTCATGACTACATATCAGGATGGGCGCCAAGTACACAGAAAATGAAAGAAAGAGTGGGAGGCACTCCCTTGACATGGGGCTGGTGGGGAGAAGGGCCTCTGCTGAGTGGTCCATTGTTGATTGCCAAAAGCTGTGCCCAGGTCAAGTGGGCCTGTGGAAGCCTGACTGGCTGGCCTGGGACTTCTGGGTTTGGGGAGCATGCCTAGATCTAGGGCTCAGGCTGAACCTGGGACTGTGGGGATATGCTCATAGGTGGCTAGTTTGGGACTCACTGTAGACAATTCGATGTTAGTTCAAGCTTAGCCCATATTTAGCTGGGGGGAGGGGTACATGGGCATTATCCAGGCATCTATGGAAAGCTGCCTGCCCTTGGCTGGGCATCCAAACCCCCTCTGAGGGTTCTGCTCCTTCCCAAGCTCACACACCTTCTTCACTTAGCAGCTCTTTGAGCCAGCATCCCCCTTTCCTGCACCTTGGGGAGAATTAGGAGAATAAACCTGGTCACCTTGATTGGTTGTTGGATCTTTCCATGATCTCTGAGAAGGGAAAGGTCACATCTCATAATTCCACTTCACAGATGGAAAAGATGAATCCCAGAGAGGAATCCCACACTCTGACAGATGCAGAGCAGGGCAGGGCTTGCCCACCTAGTGGGGTAGGGGTGAGGGGGCTTCTCCAGGCAGGGCAGTTGGATCCTCCAACCTCAGCCGCCCATCTTCCCTGGGTAGATGACTTCATGAAGCAGAGCCGGGGCATGCTGCTGCTCTACAGCCTGAAGAACCCCAGCTTCCCTGAGTACATGTTCAGCAGCAACAGCGGCGTCATGTGTCTCGACATCCACGTGGACCACCCCTACCTGGTGGCAGTAGGCCACTATGACGGCAACGTGGCCATTTACAACCTCAAGAAGCCCCACTCCCAGCCCTCCTTCTGCAGCTCAGCCAAGTCTGGCAAGCACTCAGACCCTGTGTGGCAGGTCAGCAACCAGGCTGGGAGGGGTGGGGATGGGAGCAGCATGTGGGCCTGGAGCCACTGGAGGAGGGAGGGAGCTTGGGGAGGAGAGGACCACAGGCAAGGAGATGAGGATGGCAGGTACCATCAGGTCAGGATCTGGGTGTCAGAAAAGGGCAGAAGGTGAAAATCAGGAGGCAAGAGGGTCTCCAGTGAGAGCTGGGGTCTGCTGCTCCAGAGCTTCCCTCAGGAGGGCCCCCACCTGTTTGCTAAAGATCTCTTAGATGTGGCGATCAGTAACTCAGAAGACATAGCTGGAAGGCTCCAGGGCCTGACAGGCTCCAGCTGAGTACAGTGGGCCCTTAGACAATGTGGGAATGAGGGACACTGACCCCCACACAGTCAAAAATCTGTGTATAACTTTGGGGTCCTCAAAAACATAACTACTAATAGCTTACTTTTGACCAGAAGCCTTACTGACAACAGTCAAATAACACATATATTGTGTGTTATGTATATTTTATGTACTGTATCCTTACAATTAGGCAAGTAGAGAAAAGAAAATATGTTATTAGGAAAATCATAAGGAAGAAAAAATATATTTACTGTTCATTAAATGTAAGTGGATCATCACAAAGGTCTTCATCCTCATCATCTTCACATTGAGGAGGCTGAAGAGGAGGAGAAAGAGGAGGGGTTGGTCTTGCTGTCTCATGGATGGCAGGGGCAGAAGAAAACCTGTGTATAGTTGGACCCATGTAGTTCAAAGTCATGTTGGTCAAGGGTCAACTGTATGTTAAAGACCAGGTCCTTGTCTACAAGCTTCCTCAACTCCGCACGGGGCCTTTCCTCTGCCATCTGGGCTAGATTTGGGGAAACTCCCAGGAAGGGGTGGCTGCTGCTGGTTGCCTGCCCTCGGGTGGGACTGTAAGGCCTGGTAGGCAGGTCTGCCCCTGAGCCTCTCTGTAGCACCCCCTCTTCTCCAGACATACCTAGAGTGGTGGGTGGGGCCTCTGCAGAAGTCTGACACCAACCTGGAACCATTACCTCGACATTGGGGCTGGATTTCACCCTGACTGTGTTTCCCATCATATTCCACTGGGCGTAGATTTCAGTTTCACTCTCAGAGGGTCTCTTAGCTGTGGCTTTGCAGGCCCTTCCTTATTGTGTCCCAAAGGTCCCCTTCTTTCAAAGGCTGTGTACTATTTTTCCATGGGCAGGACTGGGAGGACCTAAGGATGAATTTCTGCCTGAAGTTGCTCAAGGTCTCTGGGCTCATCAGACAGCAGTGGGACTCTGTCTTCTCTTCTTTCACTTCCCTCCTGCCCTGACAGTCTGCAGGCAAGTTCTACACTCCTGCCTCTTATGGCCCTGAGCTTCCTGAGACATGTGGACACCTTCCCCAGCACTGACAGGCCTGAGCAGAGGGAGGACTGCCCAGGCACAGGGGCCATGGTGCCCTCTCAGCTTTATCCTTTACCCAGAGCCTGGGGCAGAGGGTGGGAGGGAGGCAGCCCCTCCTGCCATACGCCCTCCCCGGCTACTCTCCAACAAAGCAGAGACCAGAGGTTGCAGCCTCAGGAGTTTTCTCCACCAAAAAGTCCACCTCCCAATTAATCACCAGGCCTTCCAGACACATGTAGGTCTCCAGGCAGGGAAGGATCTCTGTAGAAACTTTAAAACTCAGGGAGAGGAGAAAAGGCCTGTCTTGATCATACCTGGCCCAGCCCTGCCCCTGCTTTCCCAGCTCAGATAGCCCAGGGCCAAGCGCAGAGCATCTCTGGTTGGCCTGACCACCTTCCTTCCTCAAGCCAAGCAGAAGGGCAGAGGCCCAAGCCAACCACCCTACTCCTACTCTGCTATGTCCTGTAAATCAAATAGCAGATTGCTGGGAAAATGGGGCGTTGAGAAGAAACATTATTGCTTTCGCTGAGCAGGTCCCAAGAAGACAGGAACTCAGCTGGACAGAGAAGCCTTCTGCTCTCCTATCCTGCCAGGAAAACAGGGCTGCTGCCTTTGCAAAATGGAAGACTCAGTTTTTTATATAGAATAATGGCATGTGACATGGTCAGGACCCACCTGTCTCTCACTTGTTTACTCACTTCCTGTTCTCTTCTTTTCTTCTCATTCCTTCCTCCCTCCTTATTCATTCACTTACTCATTCATACATTCAGTAACTCCTCCCTGTGTGCTCCTCTGGTTGATCTCTGGAGTTCCTACTGGGGAGATAACCACAGCCACAGACTGACCAGGGCAGGGCAGCGTGCTAAGTGCTAAAGTAGAAGTGCGCAAGGAGGGGCACCCACACTGTCCTGGGTGGGGACCAGGGGGTGGAGGGCTGGGCAGGTCTTTCTAGAGGAAGCAACACCTGAGCTGGATTGTGAGGGAGGAGAGAGAGTTAGTGAGATGAAGAAGGGTACAAAGGGGTCACATGTGCAATGACATGGGGCATCAAGCAGAGTAGCCTGTTGGGAAGTGACACGTCATTTGAAGCACCCTGCACTTATCTATTAAGTTAAGATGCTTGGACATTGTACGTCCGTGGTTTCAAGCAAAGTGTTCATGCAGAAGCCCATATTAAAAAGATGAGATTAATATTAAAAAGAGATGAGAAAATATTAAAAAGATGAGAGTGGTGCTCTGTTAGGACCAGGTCCCTGCTTGCTTAAGGGTCCCCTGTTTTCACTCCCTCTACCCCCCTGAGCATAGTTCGAAAATTGCTGCCCAGCCATCAGAGAGTTTGGGGCAGAGGAGTAACACAGTCATGTTTGTCTCTTGGAAGGATCCTCTGGCTGCAGCATGAGTGATTTTGAAGCCTGAGCTAGGGCAGGGGCAGTGGAGACAGAAATGAGAAGACAGGGTTGAGAGCTGGTGGGGTAGCAAAATCAATAGAAGGAAGTGATTGATCAGATATTAGATAGAAGAACTGATGCTGCCTGGGTTTGAGGTGCTTAGTAGGCCATCCATAGGAGTGAGAAATGGCAGAAGAAAAACAGTTGCGCCACTGCAGTCCGCAGTCCGGCCTGGGCGACAGAGCGAGACTCCGTCTCAAAAAAAAAAAAAAAAGAAAAAAAAGAAAAACAGGTTTGGCCAGAAAGTAATACAAGAAACCCAAGGGACACCCAGAGGGAGGCATCCTCCAGGCAGTTGGCTATATGAGCATGGAGGTTGAAGGAAAGCCAGGCTGGTGAATGAGATGTCAGAGACATCAGAGTCTAAGTCCCTCTTAACAGGACTGTGTCAGAGATACTGTGTCAGAGATATATGGGGGAGGCCAGAGAGGTTGTGTTAGATCTCAAATGCCAGGCTGAGGCAGAAGGAGTTTGTTCTGTTGGCAGTGGTGAGCCATGGAAGGTTTTGGAGCCAAGGAGAGGACTGTCTGTTCTAAGAAGATTGGGCTCCTGTCCCACAGCACAGGCTTCTTCTCCAGGGAACCTGCCTGAGTAGCCAGCTCTGTGCAGGCCCTACTGTGAAGCTTCAACCAGCAACACTCTGTGGGGTGTGTGTGTGTGTGCGTGCTGGTGCAATTCTGGGGAAGGAGGCAGGAAGGATGTACGAGCAAGAGACTAGGGTCAAGCAGGTCTGCCCTAAGAAAATAAGGCAGAAGAGAATAAATCAGTGAAGCAGGTTCCAGCTCCTCCCTACCACCTGGTCCCTGGGAATTCATTCATTCTCTTAACCTCACTTACCACCCTCCCTCTTTTGCTTTATTCCTACCGGCTCACCTCCACCCCAGGAGCATGTGTGTGACTTGCGCACATACACACATACACAGTCACTTGCAAATACACACACACCACCCCCCACTGGGCATCAGGCTGCTAAGTGGGGTGTGAAATACAATTTCCATGCGGTGCTGGCGTCTGCTCATTAAACACTTCCCTTTGCAGCTCCCTAGCGCCTCTTACAGCCTGGCCTTTGACACCCCCTGTCCCCTCCCCCCTTTAAAGGGACCACCTTTACACAGAAGGAGAAGCGGTCTCAATATTAGGGCTGACTCTGACTTATGCCTCACAGGCTCTGTGGCGCTCTCAGTCCAGTGAAAGTGCAAAAGAGCCAGCTGCCTGGACAGACCAAGACAGGACTCAGCCCGCCCTCCTGAAGCTCCGATCCACCAGGCCTCAGGCTGGCTGGGGAGAGGCAACCCATTCTCTACTTCCCTCCAGCCCCCAACAACCCTGGTGACAGCAGCAGTTACAGGCAACAGGCAATGGCACTGGGTTCTTGGCCTCCCTCACTGGTCCTCTGCTAGTGACGGGGAGGGGACAGGACGGTGGTCCCAGCATGGGCGGTCTGGAGGGAGCTAGAGAATGGAAAACTCTGGGCACCCAGCCCCACCCCAGCTCTCTGGGACATGGCTTGGCCAGGCCTCCACATCTGGCAACAGAAACTTGAGTCTCAAGCGTGTCATCTTCATAAGACAACAGCTCTGTCTCCAAAACACTTTCCCATATGTTTGCTTCCAGCCCTGAGAAGATGGGTGGGGCAGGATAATTAACCCTGATTTGCAGTTGGAGAAATGCAACTCAAATCTGGGACTGGGAGCAAAGTTCTGGGAGCAGGAGTTAGTAGCAAAGGAAAGGTGGGAAAGAGGAGACACTTCCTAGAGAAAGGCCAAGCCTGGAAGAGGTGGGCAGGAGACGGGGGCCTGCTCCTCTTCACCCCCCACTAGCAAGCAGGGAAAGGCCCCTGCAGAACCTTGGCACCCAGATTCCGAGGATGATGGTAACAATGAGGACATTAGCTAACATGTATCGAATACTTCATATGTGCAATGTTCTGACGTAAGGGCTTCACATATAGTATCTCATTTATTTCTCATAACAAACCTATGCTATTATGACTCCTGTTTTATAAACAGGAAACTGGTTGATGGGCCCTGTTCTTTCCAGGCCATGTTTATTTATGCAAGGTGGTTGAAGCCGTAGCCACTGCCTTCTCCCCACAGTGGAGCTCCTGGAACCCAACCCAGGGAGGGATTGGGTACCTCCACTGCCAAGCCAGTAAATTAAGGCAATGCTTTGACTGGCACTATTGCTCCAGGATGGTCAAGAAAGGAATGAGAAATCCCCAAGAAAGGAATGAGAGACAGAGATGGATGGAAGGAGGGAGAAAGGACCAATCATGGGATTCTGGGAAATGGGCTCCCAGAAGTTGCTTCTGAGCCTCAGATGGGTGCTTGGGGGAGCCCTGCTCTGCCCACAGCCCTAACTCAACACTTTAGCAGGGTCCCAGAGCTCACATTTTGGGATGTTTCAGGTCAAGTGGCAGAAGGATGACATGGACCAAAACCTTAACTTCTTCTCTGTGTCATCTGACGGCAGGATTGTGTCTTGGACTCTCGTGAAGGTGCCTATTTCCCAGAGAGGGTCACACTGGGGTGATTGGGGAGGCAGGGAGCTAAATGGCAAAGGGCAACCCCCAGCCTTGCTCATCTAGCCCAACCCACGTGCCCTCCCCCCCACATCCCTCTGTCTGTGGCTACAGAGAAAGCTGGTTCACATAGATGTCATCAAGCTGAAGGTGGAAGGCAGCACCACGGAAGTTCCTGAGGGGTTGCAGCTGCACCCAGTGGGTAGGAGCCCCAGCCCTCTCACCTCCAGGCCTGGCCAGGTCATTCAGGCCCAGTGAGGGTCAGTGACAGTGGTCCTTCCCCTGACTGAGTGCTCCCTCCCCAACCTGTGCCAGGGCCTGACAGGAGATTGTAGGAAGGCCCGGCCCTGTCTGCTGAACCCTTGGCTGTTTGTAGACCCTCCCTGTTTATGCAGTTCCCATCCCTGTGTTTGCAGACCCTGTTCCTGTTTATGCAGATCAGGTGCTGTTATGCAGATCCAGCCCTGTTTATGCAGATCAGGCCCCTGTTTACCCAGATCCTGTCCCTGTTTACTCAATTCCTACCCTGTTTATGCAGACTATATCCCTGTTGGCACAGACCGTGTCCCTGTTTGCAGACCCTGTCCCTGTTTACCCTGACCCTGACCCTGTTTAACTCAATCCCTGCCTTGTTTACCCAGGCCCCCATTCCTGTCTGCAGAACCCCTGGCCGTTTGCAGAATCCTAACTGCCTGGGACAAGCAGGCCAGAGGGCTGGTTTCTGTTTGCCTGGCCTGGTCCCAGCCCTTACAGGGGCCCTAGTTCAGTCTGTCCTGCGCTGAGTCCTGCGCTGAGAGTGCCTGGGCTGAGCTCCTCTGCTGAGTAGGGGAGGCACTGGGAGCCTCCCTCTTGGAACTGGGCTAAGCCTGCCCCTCCCTCTTTTCCCAAGGTTGTGGCACTGCCTTTGACTTCCACAAAGAGATTGACTACATGTTCCTAGTGGGCACAGAGGAGGGAAAAATCTACAAGGTGAGGCTGCCCTGTGCCAGCTCCTTAGAAGGCCGCTTAGACCTGAGCACCTGGGGAGCTTAGAGTTCTCAACAGATCCTATTTTGATGGATTTTAGTTCCCGTCAGTTCTAGAAGGCCTCTTGAGGGAAGAGAATGTATTTCTTGACCTGCTTGGGTGATAGGAATAAGGGCTAAATGCAGGAAAGGGGATGGAGAATCTAGAGGGTGACTTTAGCCCAGCTCAGCATCTTTTCCTCCGGGCCCTCCCTCCCTTCCTGGGAGTTGAGGTAGAAGGGGGGATTCGGAGGAGTTAGAATATTTTGGGAAAACTTCCTGGAGGAGATTTGTACTTGAGCTGAGCTTGGAAGGCCAGAATTATCTCTGAATACTGGGTACATCCCAGCCAGCAGGATGGAACCTCACGGTCAGTTTCTACAAGGTCTCAGTGGTAGTAGGTGAACGTCCTTCTGAACTTCCATCCATCCAGAAATAGCTCTGCTGCAAGCTTTTCTTAGGCTCAGAGACTCAGAATGTTAATTACAGGCAGCCTCTTGGGAGCCCCTGAGGCCCAGCCAGAGCTGGTCTGAATGCAAAAGAAGTCCCCACCCCCTCTTCACCCCTCCCACTGGCAGCCCAGGAGAGGCAGGAGTAACAAGAGATTACTCAGTCACACTGTCTTCTGGAGGGAGGGAGAAAGGGGCATGCTGGTCAGGGCAAAAAACTGAATAGGAAAGCTGGAGATCCAAGTCAGCTTCTGGCTCTGCACCTGCTCTTGCCTGGACAAGGTGGGATGTTATCACTGTTGCAAGGATGATGTCTGGGCTGCAGGTGGAACCAGGGCTCTGTTTGTCCACAGGTCCTGGCCTGGAAGATGGCCAGACCACACCTCACTCAGGGCCTGAGACCTGCTCTGCCCTCTCTTAAGGAGAGAAGGCTTTTTCTGTCTGGCCTGGAATCCTCTGGGGTCAGGGCACTACAGCCCTTTCCTTCATCCTGCAGGAAGTCTCCCCTGCCCATCCTGAACCCCCAGATCCTCAAGCCCTTCCTTTCCCCCAGGGTGTGCTGAGGGTGGGAAGGGCAGCCAGGAGCTTGGCCCCAGTTCAGCTGGGATGCGATGTGGGTTAAGGACAGGAGTCTAAGGCTCTGATCCTCCAGACCCCCAGGGAAGTGGTGGCTGCTGACCTTTCTCTCACTTCTGACCCCCGTTCCCTCCCCGACCAGTGCTCTAAATCCTACTCCAGCCAATTCCTCGACACCTATGACGCCCACAACATGTCAGTGGACACTGTGTCCTGGAACCCATACCACACCAAGGTCTTCATGTCCTGCAGCTCCGACTGGACAGTGAAGATCTGGGACCACACCATCAAGTGAGGGGCCTGTTCCTGGCTCTGCCTGGGGCCCTCCCCTGGGCTATGGCACTGTGAGCCCTCTGTGCCATGGGCTTTCCACCCTCCACCTCTGCAGGACCCCGATGTTCATCTATGACCTGAACTCAGCCGTGGGTGATGTGGCCTGGGCGCCATACTCTTCTACTGTGTTCGCAGCAGTCACCACAGATGGGAAGGTGAGTGCCAGCGTCCTGACTTCACTGAGTCCCTACTGGAGATCAGGTGTGTTATCTCAGGGGCTTCCTGATGGAGAACCCATCCCATGCCTAGGTCAGGAAGGAGAAGGCGGGACATAAGGACTGTGTATTTTCCAGGGGCAAGCCATCCAGGGTCCAGCCAAAAGAGGAATCATTCATCCCATGAGGCTTCAGGGAGGAAACAGAGCTGTTCACCTTGGAGGAGAAAGCACTCTGGGGGATGAGATGCCATGGAGCAGTTATTTCCTCTGCTGTATGGTGGAGAGCTAGAGGGTGGCAGGGCCCGGCTCCATCTAAGGAAAAATGTATGAGCCAGAGTTGATCAGTGACTGAATAGTGTCTATAATGTAGTGAAGTCTCCATCCCCGGGAGTGTGCAAGCTGATTCTGAGGGAACTTCAGTGGGGTGGAATGGGAGGGGGCTATTCAACACTGAGAATTGGTGAGAGCTCAGAAACAAACATCTTGTGAGCATATTCTTGAATGCAAACCCATTTTCCCTATGGACTTTGATATAAACTGAGAAGCACTGGCTGCCCCAAGGAAAGAATGCAGCGATGAAGGCACCATTCTAAAGTCCGTCAGTCATCTCTTCCTGGAACAGATAACTACTAAGGGCCAACGATGGTGCCCAGCTCTAGGCTGGACCCTGGTGGCTTAGATACCTGCTCTTGTGGAGCTTATGTTCTAGTGAAGGGAAAGATACAAAAAGCAACAACAAAATTCCCAGTGTTCTAGGCAGAGAATTATTAATAAAAGACTGTGATATGTAAACATAAATGTTCATGGCAGCATTACTCATAACAGTCAGAGTGGCAACAACCCAGTGTCCATCAACTGCTGAATAGATAAACAAAATATAGTCTCTCCTTGGGGATTATGTCAGCAAGGACAAGGAATGATGTGCTGATACATGCTACAACATGGAGGAACCTTGACAACATGCTTAGCGTAAAAAGCCAGTCACAAAAGACCACATACTGTATAATTCCACTTCTATAATACATCCAAAACAGGCAAATTTGTAGAGATGGAAAGTCAATTTGTGTGGCCTAGGGTGGTGAAAATGTTCTAAAATCGGTTGTAGAGAAGGTTGCATAACTGTGAATATACTAACACCAAGAATTTGATGCTTTAAATGAGTGAATTTTATAGTATATGAATTATATCTCAATAAAGTTGTTACATTAAAAGAAGAAAGATAGGTTCACAAAGGCCAGGCAATGAAAAAGAAAAAAAGAAAAAGAAAAAATAAAAGGACTGGGTGGTCTGTTGGATACAGTGGTCAGGAAAGGCTTCTTTGAAGAGGTGACACGCACGCTGAGAGTTGACTGGCAAGAAGGAGGCAGCCATGTGGAGATAGGGCAGGGGAGCAGCCCATGGTGAGGGAGCAGCTGGGGCAGATGCCCTGAGGTGGGAACCAGCTTGGGGTTTAAGGAACAGGAAGGCAAGTGTGGTTGGGGTAGAGTAAGCAAGGGGCGAGAACATGAGGTGAGAGTGGGGAGGTGGGCTAGAGTGTGGGATCTGGATTTTATTTATAGTGCCAAGGGAGACTGTGGGAGGATTTTAAGTGCTTTAAAGGTAAGCCTACTGCCATATGGAGGATGGATTGTAACAAGGCAAGAGTGGAAGCGGGGAGACCAGTTAAGAGGCTGCCACAGTTGTCCAGGTGAGAGTTGGTAGTGGTTTGGTCTGAGGGTGTGGTGAAGGTAGCATCCAACATGGAATGAGCACTGGTATGTCAAGCACTGTCCTTGCACTTTACATATATTAACTGGTGTAAGCCCTGGCTCTGCCACTTACTAGCAGGTTAGCCTCTAAGAGCCTCTAACTCCTCCGTTATAAAATAAAGATAATGACAGAACCACCTTACAGAGTGGTTGTGAAGAGCATAATGAGGTGATGCAACCGTATGATGTGCTTGCCCAGAGTCTAGTACATAGTGAGTGCTCAACAAATGGTAGCTGCTATTTTCTTTTCTTTTCTTTTTTTTTTTTTTTGAGACAAGATCTCACTCTTGCCCAGGCTGGAGTACAGTGGCTCCATCTTGGCTCACTGTAACCTCCGCCTCCCAGGTTCAAGTGATTCTCCCATCTCAGCCTCCCTAGTAGCTGGGACTACAGGCATGCACCACCACGCCCATCTAATTTTTTGTATTTTTGGTAGAGACAGGGTTTCACCATGTTGGCCAGCCTGGTCTCAAACTCCTGACCTCAAGTGATTCACCCACCTTGGCCTCCCAAAGTGCTGGGATTACAGGCGTCAGTGAGCCACCACGCCCAGCCTATAGCTGCTATTATTAATTCTCCATAGATTTAAAATTTCTCCTAAACTTTTTAATTCTCACTCTTTCAACCATAGGAAAAACACAGAGACACAAAATTCCCCCTCCCTCCACCTCCAGCTCCAGTGTGCTAGCCATTAGCCTTCTACAGTCTTTCCCCAGGAAGTCCAGGGACTCATTCCTCTGAGGTGGAAGACAGGCCTCATTACCCCTGAGTGTGCTGACACCGACCTCTCCACAGGCCCACATATTTGACTTAGCCATCAACAAGTATGAGGCCATCTGCAACCAGCCTGTGGCGGCCAAAAAGAACAGGCTCACCCACGTGCAGTTCAATCTCATCCACCCCATCATCATTGTGGGCGATGACCGTGGGCACATCATCAGCCTCAAGCTCTCACCCAATTTGCGCAAGATGCCAAAGGTACAGGCTCTGGGACTTTGAGCTGCTGCAAGACGTAAAGTCTCCAGGAGGGTGGGGATGACAGAAGGGAGAAGCCAGGGTGACCACCCAGTTTCTGATGTGGGAGACCCAGGGTAAGGATGGTGTCATTGCCTGAATGAGGCTCACAGTAGAAGCAGGTTTGTGAGAAAACAGCAGTTTGACATGCTGCATTTGAGTTACCTGTGGGGCCCCAGGTGACTTTCCCAGGTGGAGACATCCAATGAGCAGGTGGATCTGAAGCCTGCAGAGGCAAATGTGGAGGTATCATTGATTTCTTCCCAGTGGAAATGCTGTGGGTAGGACAGGTCACCCAGGCAGGGGGCCTGGGGCTGAGCCACTGCCTCATTGACTGGGCTTTCACAGGGCTTCAGCCCCAGTGGTCCCTGAGCTGGGAGCTGTGGGTCTACACAGAGAGGAAGGAAATGAGCCGCAAGGAGAGTAACTAGGTCAGCAGCTATGCAGCCCTCCTTCTGAGCTCTGGTTCCTGTTTCTAGGGTCTCCAATGATCAGGAGACCCTGCCCAGAGGCCAAGGGCCCCAAATACAGGTCTGGAGCCCAGAGCGATGACCTTAAAGTCTAGATCTGAGTCCAGATCCAGACTTATGAACCCAGGCTTTGCAGCCCGGGCCTTGGAATCCTGAGCCCAAGAACCCAGAGCCCAGTCCTGCCCATTTGTGTGCTAAGAGTAGAGATGGCTCTTTGCTTTCTGCCAGGTTCTGGGCCAGGATCAGGACTGGGCCAGCTTGCCCTAATGACCATCCCTCCTGGCAATTTGAGGCATTTACTGCAGTTTGAGGCAGTGGCAGGGGCCTGTGTCTTTCGACTACTGTCTTCCCTGCACTGTGCTCCTACCAAGGAAGGGACTGCGGCACCATCCCTCTGGTGCTGGCTTGGCCTGTTCCCCACCATGGCCAGGGAGGCAAGGGCTGGGAGTGTGGCTGGCCCTGTAATTGTAGCCAGCTGGGGGAGAGGGTGGACTTGGCTATAAATACTCAAAAGGCTGCTAAGCGCCTGCAGCTGTGGCCCAGAGGCTGTGGTGGGCTTGAGGGGAGGGAGGGAGTCGGGCGTGGTCTGAATCTCTTTGCTGAGCCCAGCTAGTTGGCCTCAAGGAGGAGGAAGGAGGAAGCATAATTTGTGGAATAGATAAAATGTGTTCTTAATTTTCTGAGGAGAGAGACCCAGGTTGAAGCTGGCAGAGTTGGACAACCCTCCAGGAGGGATGATGGTCATTCTTTGGGGGAGGAGTACAGCCATGACACCATGAGGGTGGTAGACATGGGTGGGAGCCTGCCCTGCCCACTCTGATCCAGGGAGGTAAGCATCTCCCATAGTTTCAGTTCCCCTCAGAGAAGGGTCAGACATGGGTGGGAGCCTGCCCTGCCCACTCTGATCCAGGGAGGTAAGCATCTCCCATAGTTTCAGTTCCCCTCAGAGAAGGGTCAGACATGGGTGGGAGCCTGCCCTGCCCACTCTGATCCAGGGAGGTAAGCATCTCCCATAGTTTCAGTTCCCCTCAGAGAAGGGTCAGTCATGGCTGGGAGAGCTGGGCTGTGTGTATCTGGGGACCTACGTCTCTGAGGACCTGAGAAGGGACAGGTGGGGGCTGGTGGGTACTTGAGTGGATTAGAGGTTCCCGTGAAATTGCCATCTGACCCTATCAGCCAAGTGATTCATGCAAAACAAAATCCTCTGGGCATCCCTACTGCCCTTCCTCTGTGAGCTGCAGACTCCCTGCCCTTTCCAAATGGCTTCCCCACAGAGGTCTGGACCTCCCTGCCCAGGGAGCTCCCATGATGGGTGTCAAGAGCCCAAAGAGTCCAAGGCCAAAGACTGTCTTTCCCTAACTACAGGATAGATGGGAAACTGAAGCTCAGAAAGGCAAAGGCCTTGCCCAAAGTCATATAGGGAGTTAATGACAGAGCTGGAACTAAAACCAGGTCCCCTAACTCCCAGGGGATGGGGTGAAGCCAAGAAGAGAACCCAAGCTTAATTTAGGAAGGAGAGAGGGAAGAGAGAGAAAAAGAGCTTTTTTGTGCTCTGCCTGCAGAGGGTAGAGGTGAGCTAGGTAGTGGCAAAAAGGCACTGGGCTGCAAGCGGATAGGGGAGAAAATTTGGGAGCAGGTATGGGGTCACAGCAGGGGGAAATCTGAGCTCCACATGGTGACAGCAGCCAAAAAGGAGCCAGGGAAGGGCCTACTGGCCCTGCACTCACCCCTCCCCATCCCCTTTACAGCCCTGGCCAGACCAAGGTAAGGCTGGGGTAGGTGTCAGTGAGCAGTGGGCACAGGTGGCTGAGAGGATGGGGGCCCAGGAGCACAGCGAAGGCAGGAAATGGGGAAATGGCAACTGCCCAGCCTGCCCCAGCACAGCCCTCACCCCCCTGCCTGGACAGCAGGGAGGGTGGGACTGGTGCTGGTCTGCCAAGGAGTTCTCAGGACCTGTGGGTGACACACACTCCAGTGTCCAACTTATAATGGAAGGATTGGAGTGCTTTGCAGGTAGGGTGTTGGGTCATAAACTCAGGATCTGGTCTTCTAAAGGACAACCTCAGCCAACGACACCTGGAGTCACATGGACTATTCCCTCTGCCCTTATGGGTCTCTTGACACTCTTCCCAACCCTGGGTATGTCTGACACAGCAGGTCTCGCCCCAAATAGCACCCACTGCCAACCTGACCTGAAGGCATCAGGTGAGAGGACTAGGTGAGGTCCGGGCCCCTGAGGCTCTGTCCACAGCCCCTCCCTCCCCAAACACATACCCATTAGCTCCTTGATAGGTCTCGGCCAGGGACCTTCCCATGGTAAGGATGGTGCCAGCAGTCAGCCCCCCGCCTTCGCAGAGCTGGATTTCCCTGGCCTGGAAGGTTGTTCCCCTGAGGGTCAGGGAATGGATGCCTTTTCCCACTCCCACAAGCATCAAGACCCCATGTCCATCTGAGGTTCAAGCCAGAGCTGGACTCCTTTTTGCAAGCTGTCAGCTGAGCCCCTGTGTCACCTAACCCGAGTTGGGGAATGATCGTGTCAGGGAGAGGGGAGGCAGGGATCCAGAATTTACTGGGCAGGGGAGGGGTAGGGCACAGCTGGACAGGCTGGGCAGAGGAGGTGGTGCTGGGACCCAGAGAGGGGGGGCCCACCATTCCTCCCTCATGTATACTTTCCCTCTCCCCAGGAAAAGAAGGGGCAGGAGGTGCAGAAGGGTCCAGCTGTGGAGATTGCGAAACTGGACAAACTGCTGAACCTGGTGAGGGAAGTGAAAATCAAGACCTGAGGGGCTGGCCTCAGTCTCTGTCCCATCGCTTGAATACAGTACTCCTAGGGCTTGACCCTGGTACCCAGCCCAGCCTTAGCACCCAGCATGTGACCCCACTCCTGATCAGGTCCCAGCATCTTCCCTTCTTGTTCTGTTCCTTAAGGTCCCAGCACCTTACCCCAGGACTTGGTCTTCAACCACCATTACCCCTCTAACTTTGCACAAATAAACCTGTGTAGAAACCCACCCCACACCTTTAATTGTGCTACCACAGGGCCCTCAGGAAGAGAAGAAAACCTCAGGGTAGAGCCATAGTTCCATTTATTATCCAGCAAACACTGGGAGGACCAGGGGAGGGGCCCAGCCTGGACACCCTCCTATTATTGCCATGGGTTCCAGTTTGCTTCCCCAGCCTAGAGGGCCTAGAGGTGCTCAGCCTAGGGAAAGAGTGGACCCGGCCCCTGACCCTTGGCCCTTGGGATGGAGCATAGTCCAGATGGCCCTGGCTCTAGCACCAACTCATAAGCCCCCACCCCAGGCCCATCTCCTTAGGGCCACTGAGCTCCTATTGGAGCCAAGCTGGCTAGACTCTGGGCCGCTGGGTCCAGCTCCAAGCAGGCGGACTCTTGAGTTCTGGACCCCAGGCTGGCTGAACTCTGGGATCCTAATTCCAGGCTCTAGGTGAGGTGGACTTAGGTCCTGGGCTCCAGGCTAGGCCAGGGGCCTTCAGGGCTGCAGCAGGTAGCTGCCTTCATGGCTGGGCTTCTGGGGTGGTGGGGCCTTCTCAGGACAGGGGCCAGGGCTGGAGTTGGGACTGGATTCAGAGAGAGAGTCAACGTCGGCAGAGCGAGAATGGCAGGCCCAGCAGAGGATGACCCAGAGCAGCAGCAGCAAGAAGCCCACGAGACCGTTGCAGACGATGGCGATGAGGGCCCCCTGGGAGATGGCTGCCCCCATGACAGGCAGCACCCTCAGACCAGCACAGACAGTGGAGCTGCCTCAATGGTGAGGCCCATGCCGAGGCAGGACTCTGGTATGGCCGGCCTTCAGAGGAGGCTGTGCTGTCTGCACGCTCAGTGATTCCTGGGCAGTGGAGATGTCTACCTGCAGTCCTGAGCCTGTTGGGGGTATACAGTAAAGGAGAGGGTGGTGAGGAGGAAGGGTGGGGTGAGGCCTAGGAGGAGAGAGGTAGGGAAGAGAGCCTCCCTCCCACATTTCTGGCCTCCCTGGTGAAAGACCTTGGGTCCCAACAGGCTCGAATACCCCACAGAGCCATCACCCCCATCCACAGGCTTGGTTCTGGCCACCTGAATGAGTGTGTAGCCACCGTGGGGAAGCTGCAGTAGGCAGCCGTCATCTCATTCTCCTTAGACCTGGTGGGCATGCCCTGGTCCTGCCCACCAAGCTTGCAGCCCTCAAAAGCCCTCTGTTGGTGGGTGGGATCCAGGAAGCCCCCAGCCCAAAAGGATGGGGGTTGTAAGCAGCTCTGGTGTGGCCTGGGCGCCTCCTCTCTCCCAGGACTCCAGCCAGCCCGACCAGGAGACCTCCAGAGGCGCCAGCTTGCACAGAGGGAACTTTGTGGAGGCCCTGGCAGGCATGTGCAGGCTCTGTGCGTCCAGGGCTGTGTGCCTCTATGTGGGGCTGCCTCTCTGGGTCAGGTGTGTGTGTGTGTCTGGTGTCTCACTGTCCCTCCGTTGGATGTGTGCCTGTGCCTCTGCACACCCACCTCTGTGTGTGTGGCTGCCTCTCCGTGTGTCCCCATCTCTGAGTATGTCTCCTCTATGTCTCATTTCTCTACCAGTGTGTCTCTGTGTATCTCTGCATCAGTCTCTGTGTCTCTCTCTCTCTTCCAGGCTGTATCCCCCTCTGTTCCCATGGACGTGTCCCTATCCCCTTCTCCGTGGGGTCTTTTCGGTGGTTCCTGTGTCTCTGTCTTTGTGTTCGTCTCTCTCCGCGGCAGTGTGTCTCTGTCTCTTTATCTCCATCTTCGGGTCGCGTGTTCTTGGCCCCCGTGCCCGTGGCGGGAGGCCCTTCTTACCTGAGTTGAGCCTGGTGCGCGCCCGCGGGAGGGTCCGGGGCAGCGGGATGCTCGGCGCCGACTAAGGCTTGGGAGCCTGCGGGCGGGGGGCGGCGGGAGGTGGGAGACCAGCAGAGGCGACGTCCGCTCCCCCGGCCCTCCCCCTCGGCCGCGCAGCCTCCACCGGCCGCTCCCGCCGCGGCGCGACCGGGGCGGCCTCTGCCGCGGGCGGTCTGCGGTGAGCGGGCACCTCCTCCCCTTGGGGCCGCACCTCCTCCGCGGCCGCGGCGCTCGCTCGCTCGGCAGCGCTCGGGCGGCGGCGGCGGGAGCTGCGCGGTGTTCGGCTGGGCTCGGCTGCGTTCGGTTGGGCTCGGCTGGGCTCGGCTACGTTCGGCTGGGCTCGGCCGGGCTCGGCGGCCAGCAAAAACAGCGAAGAGCCTCGCCTCCTGGGAGGCCGGCGGCCTGCGGCCCGGGGGCGGAGCCATCCCAGCGCCGCTGCCGCCACTCAATTGGCTGGCCGAACCCCGGTTCCCGCACCATTGGTGGTGCGCTGAGGTGGGGACCAGCCCGCCTCTCGTGCCGGCGCGGGGCGGGAGGAGGGCCGAAGGAGTAGCTGGCCCTGGATCCTTCCCGGGAGAGGGGATGGGGTGGGGGCAAGGCCTAACCTCTGGTAGGGATTTCTTGCACCTTCTACACCTGGAAGGGTTGTACACCCCACATCCGAGAAAGGCCAAGGCCTCTGCATTTCCACATGTGAGGAAACCACCCCTCTGTATCTGGGAGAGGTCTCTTAAGTAAGTCATCCGGAGGAAGGCCCCGCGTCCCCACACCTGGCAGGAGACTGAATCTCCTCACCTAGGGAACCGCCTATAGTGCAGTCCCGCACTTCCCTCTGCCACCTGGGTGTGGACTCTGCATTCCCACTTTAGAGGGCCCCAGGTTCCCTGGCCCTAAGAGGTGTGAAAATCTCTGGCAACACAGGTTCTTTGGACACATTTACTGAGTTCCTACCCAGTGTTGGTCGCAGGCTTGCTGCCAGGCTGTTGGGGAGTCTGGGACAGAAATGGAGTGTCCTGAGCGATGGTTCTGCCCTGGCTGGAATAGGTGCAGGCGTGGTGGAAATCCTGCCTTGCCATCCTAAAAGCTCCCCTAAGAAGAAGATAGCTTGGACAGGAGCAGTGAGGTAGACCTTGTCCTCCCCGACCTTCACAGGCCAGTGATTGTCACCTATTCTGATCCGGCCGTCTTCTCATCCCGCTCTACATGCTCTCCTTGGAGGATCACATCCCTGAAGCTATATCATGAAGACTCCCAGTGCTCCCAAGTCTAGCCTTAACTTCTCTCTGGAATCCTAGACTCATATAACTAAGTGCCTACTGTAATCGGGGCAGTATTGATTCCTGGTTCACTTACTAACTTTGTGATCTTGAGCAAGTTACTAAATCTCTCTTAGCCTCAGCTTCCTCATCTGTAAAATGGTTGTAATGCTACCTCTCAGGGTTGTTATTCACTAATTTATAGCAGATCGATCACATCTCAGCAAATGCCAGCTGACACAACCCCCAGGACCATGTGACTAAGAGGCCCCTTCCCCCAATCCAATGCCATGAAATTCACATAAGACCCCTGTAAATCCAGATGCTATCTTGAAAGAAGAAAGGGAAGACTGAGTCATCCAAAGCTACCAAAGTACTTAGAGACTGTCTAAAATAAATTATTGGATCCTATAGAGTTTACCAGAGTGGATTACTTTTAGCTCCCCCCCACTGCCCATTACCCAGCAGGGTGAGGGCATTGTGAGAAAGATCAGCCTAGTTATAGGAAACAGAGGAGACTTAAATCATCGCACATCTGAGTGTAATGTGAGCGAATTTTGTGACCCAGCTGCAGGAGTTCAGATTTTATCCTGAAAACAGTGGGGAGCCACTGAAGAATTTTTGAGCAGAAGAGTAATGCGATCATATCCAGAAATTAGTAGGATGATTTGGGCTATGGTGTGGAATGGGGGCTTGAAAGCATTTGAGAGTGAAGGCAAGGATTAATAATAAGGGACTGAAATGATGGAAGGAAAAAGTTGTAGAGAGAAAAGGAGAGCATTGAGGATATTTGGGAGCTGCTGCTGGTGGGACTTAGAGAACTAGAGGATAGGGGAGGTAAGCAGGAAGGAAAAGTCTGGGATGACTCCCGGGTTAGTGACGAGGGATGCTGTGATGCCATTTACTGAATACACAGGTTCAGGAGAGAGGTCCAGGCTAAAGATAATATTTTGTGAGTTGTCAGCAAAAGAATGGTAGTTAAATGAGAAAAATAGATGAGCTCACCCAGGGAGAGAGATAACTAGTTTAAGCAAAAAGATAAATTTATAATCAGATACGGAAACCTAAGGGCAAGGATGACTCAGGAACAACTGAAACTAAGAGATCAAAAGCCACCCAGAAGAGTTCTCTCTCTACCTCTCAACTCTGTTACTTTCTGCCTGCCTCCATTTCCCTCCCCTGTCCCAAGTCCCTGTCCTCCCCATCCCCAGACTGACTTCCAATATGCTTCTAGACCACATGGTAAAAAACGGGACTTCAGACAATTCTAAAGTTTTAAAGCTTGTTGTGTAGGCATCCAAAGAGACTGGCTGCTGCCAGCTCCTCCTCATCCTCCTCATCCTCCTCCTTTCTTTTTTTTTTTTTTTTTTGGTTTGCAAAATTTTCAGGAAATATTTTGATTCAACTTAGATGCTTACCTTTGGACTAATCAATGGTGGTCAAGGGATGAAGATCAAATTGATTAACATGATAACGCTATGGGCAGTGGGGAGGTGGAGGTGGTGGTTTCCAGGGGAAGCAGCATCATAAAGAAGCAAAATGGCAGGTGTCCATACAGTCCACCCTTTGTTTGCCCAACACATATACATCATTTCCTATTATATGATTCCAAAAAGGCCCTCATCTACATAATCCAATCATCCCACGATACAAATGCCAATAAATTTGCCTCCTTTCCAGTGAAGAACAATTCAGTGACACATCCAGCTGCTGCTTCTGGAGATCATAGCACAGATCAGGACCACTGTTCTTCAGATATAGGTTCTCCAGGTAATGTCCCTTCATGCTCTAGTGAGGTCTCCATGAGGTATGAAATGTGGCTTCTAATAATCCCACTACCTTTTAACTGCCTTTGAACTATCTTTAAACTACTCCCCCTATGAAAAAGTCCTGATATGTAGAGATACAAGAAATAGAGAATAAAATGGGGTGAAAAGGAAGCACTGTGCATTGGTCACTAATCCAGAACATCATCTACTGTAGATGTTTTTGGCCATGAGTAATAATGAAATGATAGGACTAGCAAATCTCATGGCATCTGTTTGTTGACTTGCTCCTTTGGCTGTGGAGTTCCTTGGTCGGCCAATCTGGCTGCCTTAATTTTTGCCCACAAGGTAGAGATCCCTTATCCAGTGTTTTGAGAGGGTCATTATGGAGGATTTCTCTGTGCGGCACTGTACTGATTAGCACTACACCTTCTGGTGGTGTTTTACAGATTATCCTGGGATTGAACAACCACAGAGCTCTACACTTAGGAGGATTGGATAAGGGCTTTTCCCTCAATAGATTATGCAATTATTTTAAAACCATAATCAGCTGCCTATCAATTTCATTTGGAGAAATTCCATCTGCTAATAACATGTTTGATTGGTTCTAAGGTGTACTTTTTTCCCCCAGTTTAAACAAATATGTAATCAGAATGTGTCTTACAATTAATAGCATGTAATCATTTTTTCACCTCTTATTTTTTTTTCTTTTTTCTTTTTTTTATTATTATACTTTAAGTTTTAGGGTACATGTGCACAATGTGCAGGTTTGTTACACATGTATACATGTGCCATGTTGGTGTGCTGCACCCATTAACTTGTCATTTACATTAGGTATGTCTCCTAATGCTATCCCTCCCCCCTCCCCCCACCCCACAACAGGCCCCGGTGTGTGATGTTCCCCTTCCTGTGTCCAAGTGTTCTCATTGTTCAGTTCCCACCTATGAGTGAGAACATGTGGTCTTTGGTTTTTTGTTCTTGCGATAGTTTGCTGAGAATGATGGTTTCCAGCTTCATCCATGTCCCTACAAAGGACATGAACTCATCATTTTTTATGGCTGCATAGTATTCCATGGTGTATATGTGCCACATTTGCTTAATCCAGTCTATCATTGTTGGACATTTGGGTTGGTTCCAGGTCTTTGCTATTGTGAATAGTGCCACAATAAACATACGTGTGCATGTGTCTTTATAGCAGCATGATTTATAATCCTTTGGGTATATACCCAGTAATGGGATGGCTGGGTCAAATGGTATTTCTAGTTCTAGATCCCTGAGGAATCACCACACTGTCTTCCACAATGGTTGAACCAGTTTCCAGTCCCACCAACAGTGTAAAAGTGTTCCTATTTCTCCACATCCTCTCCAGCACCTGTTGTTTCCTGACTTTTTAATGATCGCCATTCTAACTGGTGTGAGATGGTATCTCATTGTGGTTTTGATTTGCATTTCTCTGATGGCCAGTGATGATGAGCATTTTCTCATGTGTCTGTTGGCTGCATAAATGTCTTCTTTTGAGAAGTGTCTGTTCATATCCTTCACCCACTTGTTGAGGGGGTTTTTTCTTGTAAATTTGTTTGAGTTCTTTGTTGATTCTGGATATTAGCCCTTTGTCAGAGGAGTAGATTGCAAAAATTTTATCCCATTCTATAGGTTGCCTGTTCACTCTGATGTTAGTTTCTTTTGCTGTGCAGAAGCTCTTTAGTTTAGTTAGATCCCATTTGTCAATTTTGGCTTTTGTGGCCATTGCTTTTGGTGTTTTAGACATGAAGTCCTTACCCATGCCTATGTCCTGAATGGTATTGCCTAGGTTTTCTTCTAGGGTTTTTATGGTTTTAGGTCTAACATTTAAGTCTTTAATCCATCTTGAATTAATTTTTGTATAAGGTGTAAGGAAGGGATCCAGTTTCAGCTTTCTACATATGGCTAGCCAGTTTTCCTAGCACCATTGGTTAAATAGGGAATCCTTTCCCCATTTCTTGTTTTTGTCAGGTTTGTCAAAGATCAGATAGTTGTAGATGTATGGTATTATTTCTGAGGGCTCTGTTCTGTTCCATTGGTCTATATCTCTGTTTTGGTACCAGTACCATGCTGTTTTGGTTACTGTAGCCTTGTAGTATAGTTTGAAGTCAGGTAGCGTGATGCCTCCAGCTTTGTTCTTTTGGCTTAGGATTGACTTGGCAATGCGGGCTCTTTTTGGTTCCATATGAACTTTAAAGTAGTTTTTTCCAATTCTGTGAAGAAAGTCATTGGTAGCTTGATGGGGATGGCATTGAATCTATAAATTACCTTGGGCAGTATGGCCATTTTCACAATATTGATTCTTCCTATCCATGAGCATGGAATGTTCTTCCATTTGTTTGTATCCTCTTTTATTTCGTTGAGCAGTGGTTTGTAGTTCTCCTTGAAGAGGTCCTTCACATCCCTTGTAAGTTGGATTCCTAGGTATTTTATTCTCTTTGAAGATATTGTGAATGGGAGTTCACTCATGATTTGGCTCTCTGCCTGTCTGTTATTGGTGTATAAGAATGCTTGTGATTTTTGCACATTGATTTTGTATCCTGAGACTTTGCTGAAGTTGCTTATCAGCTTAAGGAGATTTTGGGCTGAGACGATGGGGTTTTCTAGATATACAATCATGTCATCTGCAAACAGGGACAATTGGACTTCCCCTTTTCCTAATTGAATACTGTTTATTTCTTTCTCCTGCCTGATTGCCCTGGCCAGAACTTCCAACACTATGTGGAATAGGAGTGGTGAGAGAGGGCATCCCTGTCTTGTGCCAGTTTTCAAAGGGAATGCTTCCAGTTTTTGCCCATTCAGTATGATATTGGCTGTGGGTTTGTCATAGATAGCTCTTATTATTTTGAGATACGTCCCATCAGTACCAAATTTATTGAGAGTTTTTAGCATGAAGGGCTGTTGAATTTTGTCAAAGGCCTTTTCTGCATCTGTTGAGATAATCATGTGGTTTTTGTCATTGGTTCTGTTTATATGCTGGATTACATTTATTGATTTGCGTATGTTGAACCAGCCTTGCATCCCAGAGATGAAGCCCACTTGATCATGGTGGATAAGCTTTTTGATGTGCTGCTGGATTTGGTTTGCCAGTATTTTATTGAGGATTTTTGCATCGATGTTCATCAAGGATATTGGTCTAAAATTATCTTTTTTTGTTGTGTCTCTGCCAGGCTTTGGTATCAGGATGATGCTGGCCTCATAAAATGAGTTAGGAAGGATTCCCTCTTTTTCTATTGATTGGAATGGTTTCAGAACGAATAGTACCAGCTCCTCCTTGTACCTCTGGTAGAATTTGGCTGTGAATCTGTCTGGTCCTGGACTTTTTTTGGTTGGTAAGCTATTAATTATTGCCTCAATTTCAGAGCCTGTTATTGGTCTATTCAGAGATTCAACTTCTTCCTGGTTTAGTCTTGGGAGAGTGTATGTGTCCAGAAATTTATCCATTTCTTCTAGATTTTCTAGTTTATTTGCGTAGGTGTGTTTATAGTATTCTCTGATGGTAGTTTGTATTTCTGTGGGATCGGTGGTGATATCCCCTTTATCATTTTTTATTGTGTCTATTTGATTCTTCTCTTTTTTCTTCTTTATTAGTCTTGCTAGCGGTCTATCAATTTTGTTGATCTTTTCAAAAAACCAGCTCCTGGATTCATTGATTTTTTGAAGGGCTTTTTGTGTCTCTATCTCCTTCAGTTCTGCTCTGATCTTAGTTATTTCTTGCCTTCTGCTAGCTTTTGAACGTGTTTGCTCTTGCTTCTCTAGTTCTTTTAATTGTGATGTTAAGGTGTCAATTTTAGATCTTTCCTGCTTTCTCTTGTGGGCATTTAGTGCTATAAATTTCCCTCTACACATTGCTTTAAATGTGTCCCAGAGATTCTGGTATGTTGGGTCTTTGTTCTCATTGATTTCAAAAAACATCTTTATTTCTGCCTTCATTTCATTATGTACCCAGTAGTCATTCAGGAGCAGGTTGTTCAGTTTCCATGTAGTTGAGTGGTTTTGAGTGAGTTTCTTAATCCTGAGTTCTAGTTTGACTGCACCGTGGTCTGAGAGACAGTTTGTTATAATTTCTGTTCTTTTACATTTGCTGAGGAGTGCTTTACTTCCAACTATGTGATCAATTTTGGAGTAAGTGCAATGTGGTGCTGAGAAGAATGTATACTCTGTTGATTTGGGGTGGAGAGTTCTGTAGATGTCTATTAGGTCCGGTTGGTGCAGAGCTGAGTTCAATCCCTGGATATCCTTGTTAACTTTCTGTCTCGTTGATCTGTCTGATGTTGACAGTGGGGTGTTAAAGTCTCCCATTATTATTGTGTGGGGGAGTCTAAGTCTCTTTGTAGTCTCTAAGGACTTGCTTTATGAATCTGGGTGCTCCTGTATTGGGTGCATATATATTTAAGATAGTTAGCTCTTCTTGTTGAATTGATCCCTTTACCATTATGTAATGGCCTTGTCTCTTTTCATCTTTGTTGGTTTAAAGTCTGTTTTATCAGAGACTAGGATTGTAACCCCTGCCTTTTTTTATTTTCCATTTGCTTGGTAGATCTTCCTCCATCCCTTTATTTTGAGCCTATTTGTGTCTCTGCACATGAGATGGGTTTCCTGAATACAGCACATTGATGGGTCTTGACTCTTTATGCAATTTGCCAGTCTGTGTCTTTTAATTGGAGCATTTAGCCCATTTACATTTAAGGTTAATATTGTTATGTGTGAATTTGATCCTGTCATTATGATGTTAGCTGGTTATTTTGCTTGTTAGTTGATGCAGTTTCTTCCTAGCATTGATGGTCTTTACAATTTGGCATGTTTTTACAGTGGCTGGTACCGGTTGTTCCTTTCCATGTTTAGTGCTTCCTTTAGAAGCTCTTGTAGGGCAGGCCTGGTGGTGACAAAATCTCTCAGCATTTGCTTGTCTGTAAAGTATTTTATTTCTCCTTCACTTATGAAGCTTAGTTTGGCTGGATATGAAATTCTGGGTTGAAAATTCTTTTCTTTAAGAATGTTGAATATTGGCCCCCACTCTCTTCTGGCTTGTAGAGTTTCTGCCGAGAGATCCGCTGTTAGTCTGATGGGCTTCCCTTTGTGGGTAACCCGACCTTTCTCTCTGGCTGCCCTTAACATTTTTTCCTTCATTTCAACTTTGGTGAATCTGACAATTATGTGTCTTGGAGTTGCTCTTCTCGAGGAGTATCTTTGTGGCGTTCTCTGTATTTCCTGAATTTGAATGTTGGTTTGCCTTACTAGATTGGGGAAGTTCTCCTGGATAATATCCTGCAGAGTGTTTTCCAACTTGGTTCCATTCTCCCCGTCACGTTCATGTACACCAATCAGACGTAAATTTGGTCTTTTCACATAGTCCTATATTTCTTGGAGGCTTTGTTCATTTCTTTTTATTCTTTTTTCCCTAAACTTCTCTTCTCGCTTCATTTCATTCATTTGATCTTCCATCACTGATACCCTTTCTTCCAGTTGATCAAATCGGCTAATGAAGCTTGTGCATTTGCCATGTAGTTCTTGTGCCATGATTTTCAGCTCCATCAGGTCCTTTAAGGACTTCTCTGCATTGGTTATTCTAGTTAGCCATTCGTCTAATCTTTTTTCAAGGTTTTTAACTTCTTTGTGTTGGGTTCGAACTTCCTCCTTTAGCTCGGAGAAGTTTGATCGTCTGTAGCCTTCTTCTCTCAACTCATCAAAGTCATTTTCCATCCAGCTTTGTTCCATTGTTGGTGAGGAGCTGCATTCCTTTGGAGGAGGAGAGGTGCTCTCATTTTTAGAATTTTCAGTTTTTCTGCTCTGTTTTTTCCCCATCTTTGTGGTTTTATCTACCTTTGGTCTTTGATGATGGTGACATACAGATGGGGTTTTGATGTGGATGCCCTTTCTGTTTGTTAGTTTTCCTTCTAACAGTCAGGACCCTCAGCTGCATGTCTGTTGGAGTTTGCTGGAGGTCCACTCCAGACCCTGTTTGCCTGGGTATCAGCAGCGGAGGCTGCAGAACAGCGAATATTGCTGAACAGCGATTATTGGTGAACAGCAAGTGTTGCTGCCTGATCGTTCCTCTGGAAGTTTCGTCTCAGAGGGGTACCCGGCCGTATGAGGTGTCAGTCTGCCCCTACTGATGGGTGCCTCCCAGTTAGGCTACTTGGGGGTCAGGGACCCACTTGAGGAGGCAGTCTATCTGTTCTCAGATCTCAAGCTCTGTGCTGGGAGAACCACTACTCTCTTCAAAGCTGTCAGACAGGGACATTTAAGTCTGCAGAGGTTTCTGCTGCCTTTTGTTCGGCTATGCCCTGCCCCCAGAGGTGGAGTCTACAGAGGCAGGCAGGCCTCCTTGAGCTGCGGTGGGCTCCACCCAGTTCAAGCTTCCCTTCCTGGAAGCTTTGTTTACCTACTCAAGCCTCAGCAATGGCGGGCGCCCCTCCCCCAGCCTGGCTGCTGCATTGCAGTTTGATCTCAGACTGCTGTGCTAGCAATGAGTGAGGCTCTGTGGGCATAGGACCCTCTGAGCCAGGCACGGGATATAATCTCCTGGTGTGCCGTTTGCTAAGACCGTCTGAAAAGCGCAGTATTAGGGTGGGAGTGACCCGATTTTCCAGGTGCCGTTTGTCCCCTCTTCCCTTGGCTAGGAAAGGGAATTCCCTGACCCCTTGCACTTCCCGGGTGAGACGATGCCTTGCCCTGCTTTGGCTCACGCTCGGTGCGCTGCACCCACTGTCCTGCACCCACTGTCCGAAAATCCCCAGTGAGAGGAACCCAGTACCTTAGTTGGAAATGCAGAGATCATGCGTCTTCTGCATCGCTCACACTGGGAGCTGTAGACTGGAGCTGTTCCTATTCGGCCATCTTCCTTTTTTCTTTTATTTATTTATTTATTTTTGAGACAGAGTCTCACTCTGTCTCCCAGGCTGGAGTGCAGTGGCACAATCTCAGCTCATCACAACCTCTGCCTCCTGTGTTTAAGTGATTCTCCTGCCTCAGCCTCCTGAGTAGCTGGGACTACAGGCGTGCACCACCACGCCTGGCTAGTTTTTGTATTTTTTAGTAGAGACAGGGTTTCACCATGCCGGCGAGGCTGGTTTCGAACTCCTGATCCGCCTGCTTCGGCTTCCACAGTGCTGCTATTACAGGCAGGAGCCACTACACCCAGCCCTCTTTTTTCATAGTCGTTTATAAAATAACTTGCCTCTTATAATCAATGGAATCTGAGATTGTTAAGTATAGTAATTTTATCAGTCAGGGTTCTTTTTCACAAATAATAGAATCCATTCTGGATAAAGCAGAAAAAGGATTTGTTAGAAAAGATTATTTAGCTCAAAACTGTTAGGAGGGCTGGGGAAATGGACTTGAGGCTAAGATCCTAGAACAACACCCAAATCATACCACACACCTGATGGGGAAACCACAGCCATTTCCACTCCGAATACTAAGTACCAAGAGTTCAATTTGACTGCCAATTTTACAAGCTCTATGGCCCTTCTGTGATAGGAACTCAATATTGCAACCACTGGGAAACCACTGCTGTTGCCGCTACCACCCCCAAAAGCTGGACACTTGTGTTACTACCGGCAACAGCAGAAATCGAAGCTCTGTGTCTAACCTGCTTCCTACCTATATCAATCAGGATTGGCTAGGTAACACAGTAGTTACAAACAACCTTCAAATCTTACTGACTTAAAACAAGAAAAAATGTATTGCTTCTTCATGCTATAGTTCCAGCATGGGGCAGGGTGGGAGGTGGGGTGGAGAAGTCTGGCTCACTGCGGCCACTCAAGCATCCAGGCTGCTGGAGGCTCCACCATCTTGTGATGATGCTGCCTTCTTGACCTTCCTGACATGAGCTTTCAGGGTTTGCTGTGGCAGGAGAAAAAAGTGAGGAGAAGCATACACTGGCTTCTGCTCACATTGCCTTGATCAAAAGAAACCTCACAGCCATACCTGACATCAAGGGACAGGAGAAGTACAGTCTTTCTGGTACTCAGAAGGAGAGGAGACCCAGAAATATTGGTGAAGTTTAGTGTTTCCCTCACTCATTTTTCTCACTTCCAAATGGAAGTCTCATGTGGGTGAAGTATCATCCCTGTAAACAATTGTATGTGGTGAATTTCAATTCTGACTTACTATACTGAGTAGGCTGGATTTTGAAATGGGAATTTTCCCATATTAAAAAAACTGTATGAAAGGTGAAGGACATCCATGAATACATTTCTACTACCATAATCAATACCAGAATTTTACAGAATCATGCTTCTAGAATCTCTAGGTTTACCAAGATGATTCACGGCCTGAGCACACTTTTGGAGCAATTTCTCTTTTTTAGCTCTATGTCTGGGTCTTTTTCAGTCCATCTGACTATGGCTTGTGGCTTCATAGGAAATCGTAGGCTGGACTAGAAGGGCTGGGATCCTTTCTTCTTCCACCTGCCCTGGAATGATGCCCTTGCTTCGCCCCATTCCAGTCAATGCACTTTACAATGGGAGGCACCATCACATTTGCCTGGCAAGGTGGGGAGAAGAAGGGCTTTCCAATGCCGAATCTTCCAGTGTAAGTCATGATTGCTAGGCTCTCACAGTTTCCTAATCAGGGTATTAACATTAGAGAGCAGCAAATAACCCAGCTCCTGAAATTCAGCAAGGCACATAATTATCTTACTCCTAGTAATCTGAGGTCAAGGCTGAAACAAATTTCCTTACCCAAGTAAAATGCTTACTCTCTTGCCCCCTAACTGTGCACAGACCACCCATTTTGAATAACTCATTTTTGTTGTCTTGACTTTTTATCACCATATTTTCTCTTTGTTTTTTGTTTTGTTTTGTTTTGTTTTTGAGACAGTCTCACTTTGTCACCCAAGCTGGAGTGCAGTGGGGCGATCTCGGCTCGCTGCAACCTCTGCCTCCCGGGTTCAAGCAATTCTTCTGCCTCAGCCCTCCCAAGTAGCTGGGATTATAGGTGCCCGCCAACACGCCAGGCTAATTTTTAAATTTTTAGTAGAGGCAGGGTTTCAACATATTGGCCAGGCTGGTCTGGAACTCCTGACCTCAAGTCATCCACCTGTCTTGGCCTCCAAAAGTGCTGGGATTACAGGCGTGAGCCACTGCACCCGGCCTATTACCATATTTTCAAGTGCTTCAGCTTCAGTCAGCATATGAGCTAAGACATAAGAGACAACAGGTGCTAGTTCAACTAATTGCTTTGCTATGACATAAAAAGGACTTCCGGGTTCCCAGGCTGGGATTAGGAGATTCTTACTGCCCCTCTACACACCTCGACTTAGTTCCTCACTTTAAGTTCTATCATTTAGAATACTTTGGTCCTGATACCTGATTTCCTAACTTGAACTAGTTTAGGCAAAGGGGGCATTTATTTTCAGAAAACTATATTGTTTCATAGAGTCCTAGTGCAAGAATATGGCTGGAACTTGGGAACAACTGGATCTGGCAATCTGAATGTCATCAGGACTCTCTACTGCTCATCTACGTGCCTTTCTGCTTGCTTCCTCTCTCTCCCTCTCTCTTTGTCTGTCCTTCTCTCTCTCCCTCTCGATCTCTCCCTCCTTCCCTCTTTTCCTTCATCCTTCAACCTCCCTCTCTAGTCTACATAATAATAAACCCAGCTCCTGACAATTATCAAACTTTGCAGCTTACAACCCAGGTACCCAAGAAGATGTTGGCTCTTTTTCAGTTCCAGCTCCAGCTTATCCTTCTAAGTTTCAGTTCCATAATTCCTCATGACTTGCTCTCATCAGCCCGGCTTTGGACAGATGCCATTCCCTGCACCAGTAATCTGTTGAGGAGGTCATAAGGCCAGGGCTTCCATGATAACCACAAGAATGGTTCCCACCAGAAGGGGATGCCTTCCAGACATCACATAAAGGAGTCCACCATGCTAACTTTTATGGATGCAGGGTAAAGATAAATCTGCAAAGTAGATAAGGAAGGATATGTCAGAGATGCAGAAGGAAAACTGGGGGAGACCATAATTTTAGGGAAGCCAAGAAAGGACAGAGGTTCGAGAAGGAAGGAAGGGGTCACTACTCCAAAATTTCAAAGACAGTTGAGGTTATTGTAGAAAAGGGACCGTGGGACTTAAGAATAAGGAGGTTCTTGATTATCCTGACAAGGAGTAGTTCCAGTGGGCAGTAGGAAATGGAAATGGGGTATGTAGTGAAAGCCAGAGTTTAGTGGTTTCCAGAGTGAGTAAGAGGTAGATATAGGCTGGGAGCCGTGGCTCATGCCTGTAATCCTAGCACTTTGGAAGGCTGAGGTTGGAGGATCACTTGAGGCCAGGAGTTTGAGACCAGCCTGGGTAACATAGCAAGAACCTGACTCTGCAAAAAATATATATATATAAAAATTAGCCAGGCGTGGTGGTGCACACCTGTAATCCCAGCTACCCAGAAAGCTGATGAGGGAGGATTGCCTGAGCCTAGGAGTTGGTGACTGCAGTGAGCCATGATCATGCCACTGAACTCCAGCCTGGGTGACAGAGTGAGACTCTGTCTAAAAAAAAAAAAAGAAAGAAAGTAGATACAACATAGACGATTCTTTCAAGAGAATTGACTGATTGACTGTGAAAATTAGAAGGAAGGAGAATAGATCAGAAAGACATAGAGTCAGAGGAAGTTTTTTTATTTTAAATAATTTCTTACATGTTTCTGACATGGAATGTTTAAATACTGGTGGGATGGAATCATGAGAAAAGATATAATTGATGATAGCTATTTTTGTTAGCTATCTCCCATCTCCCCTGGGCTGGAAGGGCCAGGAACAGGAGATAAGGCCCAGGCTAAAGGTGTGAACCATTTCAACTTTTTTCCCAAGCCACATTGGAAAGTAGGGCAAAGAGAAGAGGTGCCTGTCCTCAGCACTGGATGAGCCAGGTTGGGGACCAGGGCACACCCAGGGGCCTGGGATCGTGTGGAGAACAAATGGTCCCAAGGCTGGAGCCAGTCCTCCGCAGTGGGGGAAGGGTGGGCACAGAGCAGCTACATCCAGTGACAGGCAGACTTGCCACAGGCTCCGATTTCCCCATCTCAAAACCCTGCCTGTCGCTTCCCTGCCCACCTACTACTCAGTGTCCCTGCCTAGCCGCCACCTGTTGTCTCAGCTCCACTTTCCCACCCCCCGTCACTCCCCAGCCGCTGCCCCTGCCTTCTGCTCTCACCATCCCTGAAGCTGGCTCACCAAGGTCACTTTCACCTCCTTGTCACTTCCAGTGAATACCTTTTAGTCCTGATCTATGTTGACTACTTGGCAGCCTTGAGGCTGTTGGTCCTCTTTTGAAACTCTGTCTTCCCGTGTCCTCCATGAAGCTGTTCTCTCTGGGAACATTTATTCCTCCTCCTAAAACAACAACTCCTTTATTAAGCACCTAGTCTCTGTCGGGGTTTTACATTCATTATAGATAATCCTCACCTGGATGCAAGACGGGTCCATGAGACAGATGAGGAAACTGAGGCTCAAGGTGGTCAAGGGGTTTTTCTAAGGCCCCATGGCAGCAGGTGATAGAGCCTGGATTAGAACCGAAATTTGCTGCACTGCCTTCAACTCCAGCTTGTTGTCTCCCTTACCTCTTGGGCCCCTCCTCGGCTTCTTTGGTGGGCTGTGCTCTCAGCCCCCACCCTCTTCTCCTCACAACTCAAGTGAGCACCTCTGTGTCTGTGGCTTCCATGCCCATTTTTCTTTTTTCTTTTTCTTTCTTTTTTTTTTTTATTTGAGACGGAGTCTCGCTCTGTTGCCCAGGCTGGAGTGCAGTGGCGGGATCTGGGCTCAACCTCCACCTTGGCGGCAACCTCTGCCTCCCAGGTTCAAGCAATTCTTGTGCCTCAGCCTCCCGAGTAGCTGGGATTACAGGCGTGCACCACCACCCCTGGCTAATTTTTGTATTTTTAGTAGAGTCGGGGTTTTACCATGTTGGCCAGGCTGGTCTCAAACTCCTGATCTCAAGTTATCAGCCTGCCTCGGCCTCCCAAAGTGCTGGGACTACAGGTGTGAGCCACTGTGCCCAGCCAGTGCCCATTTTTGTGCTGACAATGCTTTCATACTAACCCAGACCTTACTCCCAAGTCCCAGACTGGTATGCGTTGTTGTTGTGGCTGCTGCTATTGTCATTAAGAACTAAGATTCATGGAGTGTTTATAACATGGCAGGTACCACGCCAGTTTCTTTATATACATTAAATCCTTACAACGGCTGGGCATGGTGGCTCACGCCTGTAATCCCAGCACTGTGGGAGGACAAGGCGAGCAGCTTGAGCCCAGGAGTTTGAGATCAGCCTGGGCAACATGGCAAAATCCCGTCTCTACAAAAAATACAAATATTAGCCAGGCGTGATGGCACACACTTGTAGTCCCAGCTACTTGGGAGGCTGAGGTGGGAGGATCCCTTGAGTCTGGGAGGCGGAGGTTGCAGTGAGCCAAGATTTCACTGCACTCCAGCCTGGCTAAGAGTGAGACCCTGTCTGAAAAATGAAATAAAATAAAAAATAAAAATCCTTACAACAACCCTATGAGGTAGTTACTATTATCAGATTTTCCACTGAAGGAAACTGAGCATTAAAGAGATTAATCAGGCTGGGCGCCATGGCTCAGGCCTGTAATGCTAGCACTTTGGGAGGCCGAGGTGGGCGGATTGCCTGAGCTCAGGAGTTTGAGACCATCCTGGGCTACATGATGAAACCTCGTCTCTACTAAAAATACAAAAAATTAGCTGGGGGTGGTGGCGCACGCCTGTAATCCCAGCTACTTGGGAAGCTGAGGCACGAGAATTACTTCAAACCAGGAAGTGGAGGTTGCCGTGAGCCAAGATTGCACCATTGCACTCCAGCCTGGGTGACAGAGCGAGAAACTGAAAAAAAAAAAAAAAAAAAAAAGAGATTAATAAACTTGTAAATTTGTCCCAAGGTCAACAGGAGCCTAGGTTTGTCTGACCCCAGAGTCATTCTCTTAACTGCTATGCTGATTCAGTGTCCTCTCCCAAGAGGTCTTACACTTGACATGTCTGCATCTGAACTCATCTGTCCATTGCTTCGTATATGACTATAGGCAAGTGAGTGAATGTCTGAGCCATAGTTGTTCCACTTGCCCAAAGCCTGTCCTCCTCCCATGCTGTTTCAATAAACAGTCCTGCTGCCTCCCAGTCAACAGGAGCTGTACAAGACTCTTCCTTTTCCCTTCCCTCCCAACCACTCACTCATCAAGACATGGCGACTGTGTGCTCTAAAAGCCCCATTCTCCCTGCCCTGGGCCTAGTCCTCTCCTGTCCGGACACAGCAAGAGCTGGCTCTCAGGCCTTTCCTATCATTCAAAGAACCTTCCTTAGGCCTGCTCATTTTCTCAGCCACCATGGGTCCCACATTCTCTTCCCGCCTAGCCCTACTCTGCACAGCCCCCAGAGCAGTCTTTCCAACACACAAAGCTCACCAGGTCTCTCCAGCTCCCTGAACCCCTGATTCTGAGCAAAAGCTCCTGAACCTCAGCCTGGCTTTCAAAGCACAGACTGTGTGGTTCCACCTCCCCTGTAGCCACAGCGCCCACCCAACCCTCTCCTGAGCTCAGGAGCACCTGCACCATTGCGGGTCTTCCTGCCCATCCTTCCTCCCGCTCTGCCCTGCATGGGCAGGGGATGTCCTCTGCCTCTCCACAGTCTCAGCCCCACTCCCCATATGTGTTTTTCTAGTGACACTGCCCAGTGGTAGGCGTGCTAAGGTGTGCAAAATCAGTAATGTCTATTTTATAAAAACTATATGGTTGTGCAGTAACGTGAATGTGTTTAATGCCATAGAACTGCACACATAATAATGGTTAAAATGGTGGCTGGGCATGGTGGCTCACACCTGTAATCCCAGCACTTTTGGAGGCCGAGGCAAGAGGATTGCTTGAGCCCAGGAGTTTGAGACCAGCCTAGGCAACACAGGGAGACCCCATCTCTACAGAAAATTTAAAAATCAGCCGGACATGGTGGTGCATGCCTGTTGGGGACCAGCCTCAACACCACCCGTAGGGTACCTGAAGTCTGGTGGCGACAAAGGATTGAGAAGAGACAAGAGTTGAAAGGTGGGGAGCCCCGGGGGCCAGCTGCAAAATGGAGGCTGCAAAAGGCTCAGTGCTCTGGTCTCCACACTGTTGAGTACGATCACTTAGATCTGAGAAGCAGATGTTCAGGGCGAAACAGTGAAAGGGAGGCTATGCGTCATAGACGTAATCTATAGTAATAGCGGTTTAAATGAATCTCCTTTGTGCTCAAACAGCATATCTTTAACTTATCAGAGAGTAGCTAGTGGGAGTGGCTTAACTAGGAGCCTGCACATCTGTTCACCTTCCAGTGTTTCAAAGGAGTGTCTTTCTCCTTGAACAGTGTTTACAAATAAGAGAGTGTGTCTTGCTCTGAGCAGGGCAACATGATGGCAATTAGGAGGCTTTCCTTCTGAGAGGCCTTTTGTGGCTTTCCACAACTTATTGTCCCATATTTTTATGGCTAGTCTATGCAGGCACCCCATAAGCCTTTTTCCCAACACATGCCTGTAGTCCCAGCTACTCAGGAGGCTGAGGTGGGAGGATTGCTTGAGTCCAGGAGGTTGAGGCTGCAGTGAGCCATGATTGCACCACTGCACTCCATCCTGGGCAACAGAGCGAGGCCCTGTCTCAAAAAAAAAAAAAGGGGGTTAAAATGGTAAAACAAAACTAAATATAAATGCCTCCCTCAGGGTTCTAGTCCCTGGAGCGAGTAGATAGGTCATGATTGGGCCCTCTCCTCACCCCATCTTCCCCAGCTTACAGAGGGCCTGGGTATTTTATGCTGTGATCCCCATGGGCTCTGCTGAGATGCCCCTGTTGGGAGATCAATGTCCAGGAGCCTCCCTTCCTAAGCCCACCCTGCTCCCACTCCTGGGGTACAATTAGGGAGTATTAGTGGGTCCCCCCTGCCCATGCAACCACAGACTCAGTCTTTTAGTGTGTGTGTCGGGGGGTCTGGATTGCTTCACCTCCTCTCCCTTCGCCTTAGCATAGTCCTCTCAAGAAGTTTAGGTTTCCAGAAGGTCAGGGTCAGGAAGATGGCTGTGGTTGACTTCAGCTTTGGGCCTGAGATCCTCCCTACAAGAGACAAGGAGAAAAAAAAAAAAAGCCTGACCAGACCTTCTGCACGAGACAGGAAAGGGAAGATTGTGACTGGAGCAAAACTCAGTTAACATCCTTGTGAGTCATCCTGGCACACCAGCTCCTGCAGCAGGCAGTCCAGCCCCTTGAGGGCAGAAATCAAAAGGTGTCCTTCCCTGCATATGCAGACACACACTGACAAACATGCATACATACAACCCACAAAGCAGAGACACATACATACAAGCAAAGATGTATGTACAGACAAGCCTACCCACAGACACAGGCCTGCACATAAAAACACATCCACACAGAAACACACATGATTACACCAACTACACACATACCACATGGCCGGGAAAACACATGAAGAGATTCACAGGCCTCCATCTCTCCCTTTCTTTCACACACACACACACACACACGCAAAGATAAGCCTACCCAGAGTCACTAGTAGGTGTCAACAAATGTGTTCTAGACCAATGACTAAAGGAAGAAGTCAGAGAAGTCAGAGATAGACACAGATCAGTTTTCTAGAGATTGGAAGAATGTGTGTATATGGAGGAGGACAGACTGGTGGGAGAGAAAGCCAGGTAAACATAGGGAAGGGAGAGATCCTAGCGCCAAGAAAGGAGGGTCTTGGGTAATTATCAGGCGCCAACCTCTCGCCCAGCCCTCCTTGATTCATCTATGCATTAACAGTTACTGAGCTGAGTCCTCTGTTGGGCCCCAGGCCTATCCTCACATATGCACAGCCGGGGAGGAAGAGAGACCTGTCCATGAGGAACTATCACACAGACTGGCATGTGCCACGTTGGGGGATGCACAGCCCAGCCCCACTCTGGGCAGCAGTGGAGGGCAGATGTCAGGGAAACGTGAGTGAAATGTTGAACATGTAGGAGTTGGCTGGATGAAGGGGATGGATGGGGAGGTCACCTTGGGCCAAGGAAACAGGTGTAAACATTCGTTTCCTTTTGCTGCTGTAACAAATTACCATAAATGTAGTGGCTTCAATACAAAAATTAGCCGGGCACCTGTAGTCCCAGCTACTTGGGAGGCTGAGTCAGGAGAATCGCTTGAACCTGGGAGGCGGAGGTTGCAGTGAGCTGAGATCGTGCCACTGCACTCCAGCCAGGGTGACAGAGAGAGACTCAGTCTCAAAAACGAAAACAGAAAAACAAAAAACTACACAGATTTATTTGCTTACAATTGACTGTTCAGAGGTCTGAAATCAGTTTTTGTGGGCTAAAGTCAATGTGTTGGCAGAGCTGGTTCCTTCTGTAGGCTCCAAGAGGAGAATGCATTTCCTTGCCTTTTCAGTATCTAATGGCTGCCTGCATTCCTTGGCTTGTGGACCAGTACTCCATCCTCAAAGCACAGCACTCCAGTCTCTGCTTCCATCATTCCACTGCTGTCTTCCCTGACTCCTCCTGCCTCCCTCTCTCCTGTTGGAATCATTGCGATTATATCACCACACCTCAGATAATCCAGGATAGTCTTCTCAAGATCCTTGACCACATCTGCAAAGTCTCTTTTGCCATATAAGGTAACATTCACAGGTTCTGGGAATTAGGATGTGGACATCTTGGGGGCCATTATTCAGCCTACCACGAGGGGAGTGGCATATTATCTCACAGTCTTTAAAATGCCCTCCAATTTTGTTATTACCAGGCTGAAGATAAGGAATTGGAGGCTCATAGAAGTTAAGTGATTTGCCTTAGACAGGCAGACAGGTAGATAAATGATAAATGTTTTCTAAAATAGACAAAAGAATACAAAGAAAAATGCAACAAAGCACTCAAAACCTCACCACCCAGAAATGATCAGTATTACGTTTTGTAACCATATACATAATACATAAAATTGAGGAGAGAGGTTAGAGAGAGAGCCAGTCAGGTAGAAAAAATATCTAAGAATGGGACTGTTCTCATAGTCCTAATGGGATATACTATAGAAACTATTTTTTTAGGCCAGGTGCAGTGGCTCACGACTGTAATCCCAGCACTTTGGGAGGCCGAGGCGGGCGGATCACGAGGTCAGGAGATCGAGACCATCCTGGCTAACACGGTGAAACCCTGTCTCTACTAAAAATACAAAAAAATTAGCCGGGCGCGATGGCGGGCACCTGTTGTCCCAGCTACTCGGGAGGATGAGGCAGGAGAATGGCATGAACCCAGGAGGCGGAGCTTGCAGTGAGCCGAGATCACGCCACTGCACTCCAGCCTGGGCGACAGAGTGAGACTCTGTCTCAAAAAAAAAAAAAAAGAAAAAGAAACTATTTTTTTAACCAAAAGTAGAAAATGTACGTTTACTTGAGTTTAATAGAGAAAAAAAGAAACTGAAGCGAAAATGGAATAGCTGAAATATTTCTTCACCTTAAAAGAGTAGTCATTCCTAAAAGACCTCTCTCAAGAGCCATTTCAATTAAGAGATTGGGCCAGGCGCAGTGGCTCACGCCTGTAATCCCAACACTTTAGGAGACCTAGGCAGCAGGATCACTTGAGCCCAGGAGTTCGAGACCAGTCTGGGCAACATGGAGAGACCCTGTCTTTACAAAAATTTAAAAATTAGCCAGGCATGGTGGCACATGCCTGTGGTCCCAGCTACTCGAAGGCTGAGGTGGAAGGATTGCTTGAGACCAGGAGGTCGAGGCTGCAGTGAGCTGTGATAGCACCATGTCACTCCAGCCAGAACAACAGAGCAAGACCCTGCCTCAAAAAAAAAAAAAAAAAAAAAAAAAGAAAAGAAAAGGAGGTTGGAGTAGGATTTTACCATTATATTCTAGTTTTATCCCTTTATTGACTTAGCTATGAACGAAGATGTGATTAGTACTTCTGCTTTCCTTGCTACCTCACCTCTCCATTCCAGACTGTGCATATAACTTTCGACTCCCCTGACATTACTAATAGCCCACTGTTGACGAGAAGCCTTATTAATAACATAAACAATTGATTTGCACATATTTTTTATGTTATATATATTATATACTGTATTCTTAAAGCTAGAGAAAAGAAAATATTAAGAAAATGATAAGGAAGAAATAATTTATTAATATTTACTATTCATTAAGTGGAAGTGGATCATCATAAAGGTCTTCATCCTCGTCTTCATGTTGAGGAGGCTGAGGAGGAGGAGGAAAAGGAGGGGTTGGTCTTGCTGCCTCAGGGGTGGCAGAGGCAGAAGAGGGAGAGGAAGGCAGGAGAGGCAGGCACTCTTGGTGTAACTTTTATTGATTTTACTTAATCTGTGAATAAGTGGACCTGCACAGTTCAAACTCGTGTTGTTCAAAGGTCAACTGTATTTACAGTGTTTTGCAACGAAAATTCCCACAGTGTCATCTTCGCTGAAATTGAATTAAGGTTAATTCCTACGTGGAATTAATGTCCCCACCAGTTCTTTACCATGAATTTCCCTTCCTCAGCTCCTGACCTTGACTAATCTCTTGGCTGAATGGATTTTGTCTTTTCTGGAAAGGTTCATGAGTACACCATCCCCCAAATTTATGATTGAGATCACCCACTCTGTTGGTTACGGTTTAGGGTGACACTTTTTCCCCTCAGAACTCTGTAGATATTGCTTCATTGTCTTCACTTGTCAAATGCTACCTTGGAGAAATCTGAGACCAGACTGAATATCCCCCCTTGTAAATAAATGACTTGCTTCTTCTGTCTAGGTGCCTTAAGTATTCTTACTTTAGCCCCAAAGTTTGGTAACTAAACCAATGTATCTTTTTTCTTTTTTAGACGGAAGGGTCTCACTATGTTGCCCAGGCTGGCCTCAAACTCCTGTGCTCAAGTGATCCTCCCGCCTAAGTCTCCCAAAGTGGTGGCATTACAGATGTGAGCCACCTCACCCAGCCAAATCAATGTGTCTTAATATCAATTACTCTGTGTCAACTTTTCTGGTATACAGTATGCCCCTTTCAATCTGAATATTCAGTTCTTTCATTTCAGGGGAAGATTTCTGTATTTTGTACCTTAATATCATTTTAAGTTCCATTTTTGGAACCCCTACTTTAGGGCTGTTAATAGTTGAGCTTATGGTAGCTTGTCTTTGTCCTATTACCTTCTCTCCAATTGCTTTAGTAGCTTTATCTTTTCCCACGACATTTACTCTTAATATCTCAAGCCTTTCCTATTACTTTGATTTTTAACCACTATTTAATGGTTAAAGCCTATTAATATCTATTATATTAATATTGATTGTTTCTCTGTTTCTAGTTTATTACATCTTTAAAAATAAGATTTCAGTCCTCTTTTACTTGCTTCTCTAATATCCCTTTCATCTAATTCATTGTTTTATCATCTTGCCTGAGTTCTTTGTTCTCCTGATTTCATGCTATTAAAAAGGCCTTCTATAAAAGGAAAGATTTGCCAGGACTCTGCTTTTATTCCTTTGGGTGTGTTTTCTTCTAGATCGGGGTCTTCATCGGTTGTTGTTTTCTTTTCATCATCTTTCTTGCTCCCTTCCTTCTTTCTCTCCCTCCTCCTTTCCTTTCTTCCATCGTCTCTCCTTCCTGCCTCCATTTTGACCGTGGTCTTGGTGTCTAAAGGCCATGCCATTTCCTTTCCTCTTACTCCTCTCTGCCATGGCCCATGTTTAGCCGACCTCTCCTTGCCCTGGTGTGCAGGCCCTGGAGCCCCTTCCCATCTTGTCTGGGCCCATTTGTCTCCCCTGGAGCCTATGGTTTGCACGCTGGCTGTTGCTTTCAAACTGTGCCCACCTCTGCCCCCGTGACGTCTATGGCCTGAGGGTGCCTGGCTAGGGCTGCCTGCTGCCCTTGATGGGGCCTAAGTGCTGTCCCTCCTCTGAGGCCCTGTTAGACATCTTGTTCCAACTGGTGGGCGGGGCATAACCCATTCCTGTAGGCACTGGTTTGTCCCCGCCAACCCCTGTCCCATCCCCTGGAAGACACCAAGCCATGGCAGCTCTCCTTGCTTCTACTGAGGTCTCATGGAGAAACACAAGGTCTTCTCCTTACAAAGGCTTTTTCCCAGACTTTTCCTAAGCCTGCCTACGCACCCAGTAGTCCACTTCTCTTAGATGACAGGATATTGTGTTTCATGGACTCACCTTTTTGGGAATGGGGTTAGGAGACATACTACTCACTCACTGCACCAGAATCTTCTGTTGTTTCTTTGCATGTCACATTTTAAGGTTTATAAAAAGGATTTCCTTGTTTGCTTGGACTTAGTGAGTTTGTAGTAGCGTTGTTGTTTTTGTTTGTTTTGGCTTGTGTTCATTTTATTAGAGGGAGGTGGGGTGGGGGGCTTCTGTGACGGTGTTACTTTGTCTCATTAACTCAGTGGTCCCCACCTTGCTTTGTCCATACCTCTCCCCTTGGACCGGCCCCTCTGGCAGCCCCAGCCCCCAGCACTTTCAAGTTCCTGGGATGAGACAAGGGCCCATAGAATTAGGCCTCAGCGCACAGTGGGTTTCAGTCCAAGGAAGAGAGGGAATAAGCAGGAAGCATTTCATGGAGACAGAGTCAGAGGGAACTCAAATGCTTCTCAGGAGGGCATCTGGGCAGAAACACAGCATGAACCAAGGCATGGATGTAGGAGAGGATGGGAACAATTACTGGGGAGCAGGAGGAGTCCAGCTGGAGGAGTGCCAGCTGGAGAAGCCAGGGAGAGGCTGGAGTGGTGGGCAGGCAGGGTCCAGGCAGGGGCTGCCCTTGCTATGACCAAAGCACTTAGCTCTTGGGTCTGGAATCTCAGGGATACTAATGGTGGGCGGGGCAGGTGTAGTAGGGAAGCCTGGTTCCCATTTCTCCTCCCCATCCTCAGCCCCTCCCAGAGACCTTCCTCTGAGTGCTACTCTCCCAGTGCCCCCTTGTCCTGGTAATGCCCAAGGTGTTCCTGCTGTCGTCCTGAGAGCCGCAGGTAAAGCCTCAGCCATGGCCACACCAGGCACACGCCATCACACACGAATGTAGCACATATGCATCCCTGGTCACCTAGCCACAGTAAAACAAACATGGTGCACAGCTGCATACCATCACTGCCATTTGCACGTGACGGCTCAGTGACACATGCTGTTGTGGGCATACTTTGCACACAGCCCCACAGTCCGGCTCCTTCTCTGGGTCGGTTGCTTCTGAATTTCCTGAGAACCTGTCCTGCCCCCTGGTGGCCATTCCCCAAGCCACTGCCCCTCTGGAAGGACCCCTTCTACCTCCTTCTTGCCTTCTGGCCTAGAACAGGCTCTTCCCTCAAACTGGAACTATGAGACCAGGCCCCTCAGACATCCTCCAGACCAGTCTCCCCCATCGGACATCCTCCAGACCAGCCTCCCCCCATCAGACATCCTCCAGACCAGCCTCCTTGCTCAGACGTCCTCCAGACCACCCTCCCCCCTCAGAAGTCCTTCAGACCAGCCTCCCCACTCAGACTGGTGCTGTCAGGCAAGGCCTTCCCAAACAGGGTGATCGACGTCCCAGTTTGCCTGGGACTGAGGGGTTTCCAGAGACTTGAGATATTCAGTGCTAAAACTGGGAAAGTTCAGGCAGACTAGAACTAGTTGGCGGTTCTAGTCTTTGGATCCATGTGCCTTCAGCTCAGTCTCCCCTCAGACTGGACCCACCAGACCAGGCCCTTTCAGACACCCCTGGGTCAGCTTACCCCTCAGGCTGGCCCTTTCAAACGAAAGCTCTTCTGATGCGTGTCCCAGACCCGCTCTGGCTCAGGCTCACCCTGTCGCGTGGGCCCTCTCAGACCCACTCACCCTCAGATTGGCTTTCCCATCAGAGTGGCACTGTCAGGTCCCTTCCAGCCTCTCCCCAAACTGGCTTCATCTGATGCCCTTCCTCAGACCTCCTTCCTCTCCCCCTCCTCTGAGAAGAGGCAAGGTAGGGAGATTACATTCCAATCACTCCTGCCCCCAGGACCTTAGCCCTGCATCTCCAGGCAGGCACCGCCTTCCCAGGGTCCTGTGGCTCTGGGCTGTGGGCCTCAGGACCTGAAGACAGGCAGGTGCAGGATGCAGGACTGGGACTGGAGCCGGGGATTCTGTTCTCTCCACGTGAGAATGAACTTTCTCGGAGTTCCCTCCTACACAGGCAGCGAGCTCACAGGCTCCGGGGAGTTCTCAGGGCCGGAGGCTGCCCAGGAAGGATTCCTGCCTAGTGTCACCCTCTTTCCTGGCTGGCTGCTGGGAACGCACCAGATGTGGGATGTCTGTGCTGAGAGCTGCCAGCCTAGGAGCAGGAATGAAGGGCAGGCAGGCGGCCGAGAGGGGGCAGCAGAAGCCAGGACAGTCCCTGGCGCAGGCCGGAGAGAAGCTGCGGCCACAGGCTGGGGGTCTGGATAGGGGTGGGAACACAGAGGGAGGCAAAAAAGAGAAGGACTGATAGAGTCAGGGAAGAGGGAGACAGAGGTGGAGGCATGGATAGAGATATATACAGAGAGACACAGAAATGGGGATGGAGACACATGAGACAGAGATGTAGAGAGAAACAGAGACAGAGATGGGGATGGAGACACAAGAGACAGAGGGAGAGGGAGAAGGCAGAAAAAGGGAAGACAGACAAGGAAGAACAGATGCGAAGACAAGCATGGAGAGGGATGAATATAGAAACGAGGGAAGAAGAGACAGGAGAAGAGACACAAGATGGAGACATACAGAGAGACAGGGATGGAACAGAGACATACAGAAAGAAATGCAGATAGGAACCAGGACAAAGACAGATTCAGAGATAGGAATGGGACAGAAAGAGATAAATATAGGCTGGGCACAGTGGCTCACGCCTGTAATCTCAGCACTTTGGGAGGCCAAGGTGGGCGGATCACCTGAGGTCAGGAGTTTGGACCAGTCTGGCCAACATGGCAAAACCCCGTCTCTACTAAAAATACAAAAATTAGCCGGGCATGGTGGCGGGCGCCTGTAACCCAGCTACCCGGGAGGCTGAGGCAGGAGAATCGCTTGAACCTGGCAGGCAGCGGTTGCAGTGAGCCTAGATCTCACCATTGCACTCCAGCCTGGGAGACAGAGTGAGACTCCGTCTCAAAAAAAAAAAAAATAAATAAATAAAGAAGAGACAAACAACATAGAAATGAGAATGGGTTCAGCAAGAAGAGAGGGGCAGGGTGCACAGAGACAGGTCTAGAGTTGTAAGAATGGAGCAGAGCCACACTGGAAGAGATCAAGTGGGCAGGGGGCTGATAGGCCAGGACACAGAGCGGGGCCCAGCCACAGTGTATTGTCGGGGAGCAAAGAGAAGTAGGGGGCTGGAAGGCTGGGCCCCTGTGCAATGCACCTGGGGTCTGGGATCCCAGCCTCCCCTTCCCCCCACGCCTCAGGGTTGTTTTAATTCTCCAGATTCTGTTTTAACTCCAATGACCGATGTCTGCACTTATGCCTGGCTCCCCAGAACCACCATGGGAACTGGATGTGAAGGGACAGTACTATAGAGAGGCAACAGTCAGCAACTGAGACCCTCCAAGGCAAACAGCCTCTGTGAGGCCAAGGGCCCAAGACCCACAAGGAAGGTGACCACCCGCAGGCCCAGGCCAGTTGTCTAGTCAGAGGCAATGATGCTGCCCCTCCAGCCACCCTGGGCTTGAGGCAGAGCAGGTTCTCTCTTAGGGCTGGGGGCAGAGAGATAGAGGCCCCAGTCCTCCCCTCCATTGGCCTCTGAAGCTCCGGCAGGCCCCCTCTCCTCCTTCTGCCCCTTCCTCCTGAGGCCCCACGTAATTGCTTTCCCATGTTGCTAATGGAGGCCAGATTGTTGATGCCCAAGCTCGGTGGGCGGTGGGTAGGTCAGGGCTGACCAGGGCTCTCAAGGCAGAAAGGCAGCTCAGGCCAGAGACTCCTCACTTCATCCCACCCACCCCAAAGATGAAGGGTAGAAGTTCTGACACATCCCAGGAATGTTCTGGGGGAGACCGTTGGTGACCCCCTGTTATCTCTACTCATGCTGGACCTGGAGCCTAGGTTCAGGCTGAGCCACACCTCACAGGGACCAGACCCCCAGGCAGAACTCAGGGTTCAGGGTACAGAGCAGGTCCACAGCCACCTCTCAGGATATCCATCCTGGGAGCCTCTTCCTGTGAATGAAGAGCCCTGTGCTTCCATAGCTGGGGCTGTTCAGCTTGAAAAGCCACAGGCTTCACCTTGACGCCAGGCCTTTGCTTTCAGGGGTCTCCCACCTAGAATACTCCTCTCTCTTCTAACCTGGAGAAGAGATGGCCATTTTACTGTGAAGCCCCTCACCAGGCCCCACCTCTGGGACTGTGTCTTGTCCAGGCCAGACTCATCGGTGCTTGAGGCACTGCCAATCCCCCTCCCAGGGCACGATCCCAAGGAGGCCTGGCGATCGCAGCAAGGGGTATCCATTTCCGGAGCCTAGTCGGAGGTGAAGGGTTTGAACTGGGAGAAAGTGTGTGATGGCATCAGGGTGGCTGGTGGCTCTGTAGCGGTGTAGTGCTCAGTGCCTGCCACGGGGAGTGTATCAGGAGGACACATCTGTGCACAGGTGGGTGTGGGTGTGGACCTGACTTTGACTCCACCCACCTCTTCTTACTCCAGGAACCCAGAGAAAGGCCAAAACCTGGCTCCCCAGGTTGGAGCTCCGAACTCCCCTTTCACCCCCGCCCCCAGGTCACATGGCCTGCCTACCTGGCCCCAGCCCTGGGCATTCCCAGCTGAGAAATGCCTGCTTATGCTCAGTAAGGCGGCTTCTATAAGTGGGGTCTGGACCTAAGCAGGCCTGGGACAGCCAAGTGTCCTCCTCTGAGGAGAAGTCAGAGGGATCCCGGAGCCCCAGTTTGGGGACTGGAAGGGTGTGGGCAGTATCTGAGGCTGGACCAAAGACTGACCATCCTGTAAAGCCAAAGCCCCACCCTCTCCAGCTCCACACTGAGTCCTGACTATAACCCAGCCCTGGGAGTAAGCCTTGTACTCTGTCATTCCAGTCCTGAAGCCCAGGTCCCGTCCCTGGTCACACTCCAAGCAGCCTCCTCCTTCAGGCAGCCCCCCTGCCTGCCTAGGCCCAGGACACTCTGTGCTCTGAGCCCTTGTGGCCTGGCTGAGCCCTAGGCCTGACCTTCTAGCACCCCTGGACTATCTCTTGGATGGCAGGGATCACGCACACCCCCTGGCCCCAAGGATGAAGCCTGCCCCTCCCCTTCTGCCATCATCCCTAGCCCTGTGCACTGGGCTCAGGCCTGAGCACTCATGGAAGGCAGTTCTAGAGGTGACCCTTGAAAGGCTTCTGCCCCAGCCAGGACTTCGGCAGCCTCCAGGACTGACTGGATACCCCCGTGGGATCCCTTATTTCCCACAGTTTTTCCCTGGCAGCAACTCTGTGCTCCAGGAAAGCCCTACCCCCCAAGAAGTAGACAACACTGTTACCAGCTACACTGGCCTGAAAGCTGAACACCTCTCCCCACCTTCCCCAACCACAATTTCTTTCCTCCGCCAGCCCTGGATGGGGTGGGGTCCTTGGAAGAGGGGTACCCTCCCAAAGTGGGTCTGTTCCAAGGACTCATGAAATGGTGACGTTTAATGAGAACCGCCCACTCCCCCCACCCTGTATATACATCTATAAAAAATTCAAATACAGCAAGTTACCATTGAGTCAGACTAGAAGGGACTGACAGGGCATTAAATACTGTGGGATAGGAGCAGGGTCAGGGGAGGGGTATACAAAACAGGGCAGAGGGGAGGGGACTGAAAATTGTGGGTGCTGGGGGGAGGGGGATGGCTGGGCCCCCCCAGCATCAGGAGCTTATAATCTGATGGTGGCAACAGAGACCCTGGGATAGACAGGAGGCTGGGGCAGGAGGAGAAATCGGATGTGAGAGGCTCCCCTCACGTCCCCCAAGGGCTCCTGGGAGTCGCTGGCATTGGAGGGTCCAGCCCAAGGGGCCAGGGTGAGGGGGTCTTTGGTGGGTGGGTTAGCTGCATGGCCCACCTCCCCTGAGGGAGGAAGGAGGGCCAGCTTGGTGCGGCAGGGCTGGGGGGCGGCAGGCCCGGGCCCGCCGGGGTCTCCACAAATTGTGTCTGAAGAGAATGCAAAAGGTCCTCCTGCCCGTGTGCAAAATAGAAACCGGGGTCTGCAGGCTCAGCTCCGGCCTCCTGCTCCTCTGCAGGTGCTCTGCATGTCCTCATGGGGTGCCGGGCTCTGTAGAGACAGGCAGGGGCCTGTCAGGGAGGGGGCTGGAGTGGGGGTTCCCTCAGGCTCCCTCTGCCACCCAGCCTCACTCAACCTACCAGATCAAGAGACTGCTGGCAGTGGCGGCAGCGGCAGCCAGGGCCAGAGTGATGGGGACGCTGACCAAGAAGGGTGCCGAGGGTCCCCCGCCGCTGCCCAGCTCCCCAGGGTCACAGATCTTCGTGGTAGGTGGGGGTGCCAGGGAGCTGGTGGTGCTGGTCGTGGTCTCTGGGGAACATGGGGGAAACTCAGGGCAAGGCCAGGGCTGGGTCCCATCCAGATCTGGGGGCTCATGAGACATACCATTCTGCTTCCTGCATCAGACTGGTACTGCCTCCCCCATCAGGCAGATCCTGTTTCCCAAGGCTCACAGATAACCCCTCCACCCAATGACCCCTACCAAGGATGTCCAGATAGCAAGGACCAGGAATGGCAGGAGTTGGACAGACAGGCAGAAGTGTGGCTACCCCCGGGAGCAGAGGCTGGAGGCAGCAGGGTAGAACCAGGCCACAGGTTCTACCACAGGCCTCCAGGACAGCAAAGCCAGGAGGTAGGGGCGGGAGCAAGCTCACCCGCAGCCTGGGCCTCCGTGGTGAGGTGTCGCGGTTCCTCAGTCCAGGGCGTAGCGTGGGCGGCTACGCTCCAGTCACTCCATGTCCCAATCTCATTGTCCTTGGCTGCCACCTGGATAATGTACTCCTTCCCGGCGTAGGCATCTGTGATGGTGTGTGCTGTGCCGTCGGACAGCTCCACCTGCAGCCAGACCATGGGGTGGGGGTAAGGACACACCTGGGGGCCAGGAGGGTGAGGTCCCTCCAGAGGAAGTGAGCATGCCTCTGAGGAGAGGAGAGTAAAGGGCTCTGGGGGCAGTGAGGACTTCCCTGAGGAGAAGGAGGACATGGAGAATATTCTTGCCAGAGACTGGGGACATCTTAGGGAGGAGACTCCACAGGAGGGGAGTTGTCCCTGAAGGAGAGTAATGACATCTTTAAGGAGACCAGAAACACCTCAGGGGAGAATAAGGAGGTCTTTGCCCTGTGCCTACAACTCTGCTGTTGCCCCTGCTCTCTCACAGCCCCTAGCCCGGCTGAATCCCGACCACAGTCCCAGCCTGGAGGTGGCAAGGGCAGGGGGTGAGAGGAGATGGTAATGCTGTCCTCCTCTCCCACCAGGAAGCCACAGAGAGGGGAGGTTGACACACTGACTGGAGCTAGGCTACCTGAGTTCCAAATTTGGCCCCATCCCTTAGTAGTGAGGTGACCAAGTTACTTAACATCCTCATGCCTTGCCATCCTCATCTGTAAAACGGCATTCATGAGAGTATCCACCTCTTAGGGTTACAATGAGGACCAAGGCATGAGGACAGCATCAAACACACTTCAGCTAGCACTGTCATTACCATGGCTTCTGGTCAGAGCCTGGGTTCCCAGATGCCCAAGGCACCTACCAGCCTGGCCCCAGCTGAGCCTCCCCTTAGGAAGGCCTCAGTGTGGTTATCACCCTGCTGGGGCGGAAAGGGGTGGGGGACAGCCCCTGGAGCTGCAGGGCGCAGGACAGCTGCTCCATTTCCTCCTGGAGGCATCGCCACCCCACTCTCGCCCCGCTGGCCCCATCCTGCTGGTCTCCCCCAACCCTCCAGGCCAGCCTGCCTGTCCGGCGCCCCTTCCAGGCCCAGGCTGGGCTCTGGTTCATCTCAGTGGCACCCGCTGCCTCATTAAGCCGCCTCGTAAACAGGGGCAGCCGGCAGGGGCGGAGGAGGGGGCCGCTCTGGGCCACGTCTGGCTTCAGGGCTTTTTTGGTCCCTGTTCCAACCTTCCCCCGAGAAAACTGGGGTCTGGGCTATCTGACCTGACAGGCTGTGAGTGCATGCACACGTGTGTGTATGTGTCTGGGCATGTGCGGTGGGTCCAAGCGGGGCAGGAAGCCCCTCCAGTTCCTGCTCAGCCTGTGGCCCTGATACGGTGGTAAAGGTCAGGGTCATGGTGAGACACCTTTTGGGCCCAGACCCTGGGCTCAGTAAATCCTAATCTCAGCCCTGGAAGATCGGAGGGTCCCAAAGACCCTCTTCTCCTGGAGCCAGGGTCCCAGTTCCACCTCTGGCACCCCAGTCCCTTTCTGCTCGGCAAAGATACCCTCTGGCTGAGTAGCCACGGCTCCTTCGGCTCTGTCTCCCTCCTGCCAGGATTAGACCGCAGATCTCCACGTCAGTCTCTCCCCACAGGGAGGGAGCCACGGGGAACAGATCAAATTGCCACCTCATTGTGGGCTTATGGTGGGCACCATACCTCCAGGAATGTGGCCCCCAGGAGGTCAGTGCTCTCCTCGGGGCCACATATCCTAGACCAGGATCCTTCTTGCTAGGTTATCAGTGATCCCTTCATCCTGCCTCTCAAGAGAAAGGCTTCTCAATTGGCAGGAACTCCCTAGTCACTGACATTGGCCTCCCCTGGGAGTCCTCCGTGGTCTGCTGGAGCAGATGCCAGACACGCCCTCCAGGCCATCGCAGGAGCTGCAGGGAACCCATGCTGGGTCCCAGTACTTGCCTCCCTCTTGTCCATGCTGAGACAGCCCCTGCCCAGGGCCCATTCTTTTGCAATTCCTGATCTGTATTTTCCTCCTGAAAATCCAAATGATGTTTTTCTTTGTTCTGCCCTTCTCGCCCCCTCCCAGTCATACACCTGCCTCTCCCCAAGGTCAAGGACTGGGGAGAATAGACTCTGTTCACAGCAAAACTTCAGCTGAAAAGAACCATAAATCTAACCAACCCCAGTGCCAGTGAGTCACAGAATGGGGCTAGGATGCACTACAGGCCACGCATGTTCTCGCCACGGAGCCTGCACACTTTGCTTCTCCCACCTCAGTGTGGGGGTCAGTTTTGCGCATGGTCTCGGCATGTTAGTTGCACACACGTATGGTGTACGGTTCCCGCTGGGAGCCGCGTGCGTGTGCATGTTCCCGTGTGTGTGGTGGGCGGTGTGCCAGGTCCACTGCAAGGCGTGTGCGCCGCGACGCGCGGGGCTGCTGCCTGTAGCTCGTTAGCGGGGGAGGGGGGCTTGTGAAACTAGACCCTGGTTATTAGCAATGCATTAGGCGCGGGCAGCTGGCCAGGCGGGAGGGACTCCGGACTCTGTCAGGGAACATGTGAGTGCATGAGCAGGCTTTGTGGGGGACAGGCACCCAGGAATCGAATTACACACTTTAAAGGCCGGACTGGATAGGGGCATGAGGAGCTGGAGTTAGAGCCTGGTAGATGAGGTGGGGGTACAAGTTGACCCCCAGGAACCAGCCTGGGTTGTCCCATGGAGCACCCTCTCAACCCCACTCCTAGCCCACAGGCCTCATGGGTCACACAG